>NC_000001.11:68644744-68947774 GCF_000001405.40 Homo sapiens
GACTAATCATTATTTCACTTCTTGGTAATACCTGATGCAACTTAAAATTATTTCTTCAACTACCTTCAGAGCACTGTTACAAATGCACTGCTTTTCCTTTATCTTACAGAAGGATTTCTACAAGATAGTAAATTTCTATGCTTCTGATGTGAGCAACAATTCTGTTTGTTTGCTTCTCGTTTATTGATAGACAAAGGGGCAGAAATTAGGAGTCTTTGATAGTGTTCAAACTTACAACTATTTTGGTATTATAGGATCCATAGCTCTATTAGTCCTGAATTTGTATCGGCTGGATTATTTAATGTTGACCTAATGTTTAGTGTTGCTTAATATAAAGAGTCAATGTTTTAACATATGAAGATCTGGGTCTAGGTTTCACTTAATATTCACTGGTTGTGTGACCATGGGTAATCACGTGTGGTTCTGTTTTTATATCTGTAATATGTGCCTAAGAAAAGCAGGCTCAGTGGCCAGTGTGAAAATTAAATGGGAAAGTCCATCACAAATGATAAGGAACTAAGCAAAGCCAGATTATCATTAGGTCGAAAGACACACCAGCTACTTCAGGGCTTCTGATGGTTAATTTTATGAGTCAGCTTGACTGAGCTAAGGGATGCTGAGATAGTTGGTAAAATATTATTTGTGGCACATTTGTGAGGGTGTTTCTGGAAGAGGTTAGCATTTGAATCTGTAAACTGAGTAAAGAAGGTCTACCTTCAGCAGGGTGGATGGACATCATCCAATTTTTTGAGGGCCTAAATAGAACAAAAACATGGAGGAAGGAGGAATTTGCTCCCTCTGCTTGAGCTAAGGCTTCCATTTTCTCCTGCCCCTGGGCAGCTGTGCTCCCGGTTTTTGGGCCTTCAAACTCCAACAGCAACTGACAGGACTGCCTGCCCTGGCTTGGTCTGGAACCACACCAAAGCTTTACTGAGACTCCATCTTGCAAACAGCAGATCACACAGGACTTCTCAGCCTTCATAATCACATGGGCCAATTCCTTGTAACAAATGTCTTTGTATATATCTACCTATCTCCTTTTGGTCCTGTTTCTTTGGAGAACAATATTTGATACAGGGCTGTTTGATTCTACATGTTTTACTGATGCCCTAAAATGGCCCCAAAGCTGTTTATGGGGTTAGAGCATAGACTTTGTAGTGGAGCTGCCCTGGAGTTGTTGCATACTAGTTAGATACACTTGGAAAAGTTACTCGTCATTCATATCCATGAGCCTTTCCTCTTACTACTGTTTCCTTTACCTGCAAATCTGCTTCTATCTTGGTCAAGTTGCACATCAAACTTAATTCCCATGAAGCTATCATGGCTTGTCTTCTGTCCCTAGGCAGAGTTTACCTCTCCTTCCTCTGGGTCACCACTGTGCACTCCTGTCTCATTGCTCCTCCCTTGTGGACCACCCTTCTGTTCAAATATGTTTCACGTAGTTCCTTCAACCTGAGATGTTCTCTCTTATTCTTGGGCCTTCACACATGCTGCACTTCTGACTAGGACATTGTTCTCTGTCTCTTAACATACCATCTCCTCATTCTTTAATCTTTTAGTTATATGTTTCTTCCTTGGAAAACAACCTGTCTTAGCTCTGTTGTAACACCTGATCCAACTATTTGTTTAATTTTCTAATTTTCTCTGATAGACTGTTAGCTCCATAAAGGCAAGGAAACTTTTTTATTGTTCACTGCCATATCCCCAGTGCCTAAGTGTTTGGCACATTATCATCACTTAAATATTTGTTAAAGGAATTAATGTATTAAACTTAATATAGAGTCTTCTGGAAAAATTGTTCTGACTTATGAAATATGCTTTATGTTTGTGGAACTATCACAAAGTAATAAGGGTATCTATTTATCTATCATCATTATCTATCTATCTATCTATTTCTCCTGCCAGAAGAAAAAGGGTTAGGTCTTGCCAGCCAAATGGAATTGTTCTTTTATCCAAGAAAGGGAAGTAGAGAGTTAGAGACCAGGGTAACTCTTAAAACATGCTCCTCATACCATATAGGAAAGGCGCAGGGATTAGAATAATATGCTAATACTACACACTAAAGAAAATGTGTTTTTGAATGGACCAGTCAGATGAATACAAAGAAATTAAGGTTATGATTCACAAGCAATGTTAATTTTGTATTGAGATAGCTGCAAAAACAAAAACAAAAAAAGCTGCTGTCTGTTTCTCAAAGAATAGATGAGAGGAGATTGGTGGAGGAGTAATCATTAGTTTGCTGATGGCCATCTCCAGTCATTAAAAAATGGTTTGAGAGTAATGTTAACACAACACAGCAAGACAACAGCACAGAACAGGTGAAGACAAACTTGCAGATTCACCAAGAACAGGGTTTCTTTGTGGTATACTCTGCTGAAATAGATACTGTAGAATTATGTTTCTTAGAAGATTTGAAAACTTCACAAAAATTATATTAAGAAGAAAAATATAGAGCAGAGGTATTTTAGGATGTGAAAATCATGTCTCTGGGTAGTTATATAAACACTAATGATAGGCATTCTCTTCCCGTGAGTCCACGAAATCGCAAACTTAAGATTATTGTGTTTGCTCCCTTACTACCTGCTCCTAAAACCCTGATGCTGCAGAGAACTGATGTAGGCCACAGCCTAATCTCACCAGCATTCTTAATACAAGCTTATTTGGGAAAATTTAAGAGATACAAAACAAAATACAGTATATTTTATGTATTTATGTAATAAAAAATGGAATCTGGAGGTTACATATAAATAGCAAATGTTTTGCAATATCCCTGTTCTCATTGTCTATCAAATTAACCACTGGGATTGGAAAAAAAACCCACCAAAAAACCTAAGTGGGAGAAGAATAGTAATCTCACAGCCAGAGATCTGAGTCTTTAATGTCTGTGTTACCCTGTGAGTCTGGGTCATTTACCACTTAGATGGGTGCCTTCATTGTTTTTTCTTTAACAATTTTTCCCCAATTATAATGGATCTTCCATTATGCTTTCCGCTCTATTTCATTCCTCTTTTGTGATGCAACATCTTGGCCCATATCCAAAGCTTTATTTATTTTTCTGTATTTATAGAAAGAAATTCACTTTCAGATGCTGAAGGCAAGATAGCAAATGAGGAATTAAAATGATCATGAGTATTTGTATTCTACTCTTCTTCCTGGATCCAGTACATTCTTTGTCCCCTTGCACCTAGATAGTTCTGGCCAGTGGAATACTAGCAGAATGATGAATGCCCTCTCCCAGTTGGTCCCCAAAATCTTTGTTAAAGTCCCTTCAGCATTATTTTCATTTTTCTGGTATAGTGGCTGGCTCTAGAGCAGTGCTATCTGATAAAAAATATAAAGCAAACACATATATAATTTAAAATATTCCAGTGGTCATATTAAAAACAGTGAAAAGGGCCAGGTGCGGTGGCTCATGCCTGTAATTCCGGCACTTTGGGAGGCCGAGGTGGTTGGACCACCTGAGGTCAGGAGTTCGAGACCAGCCTGGCCAACATGGTGAAAACCTATCTCTACTAAAAATACAAAAAATTAGCAGGGAGTGGTGGCGAGCGCCTGTAATCCCAGCTACTTGGGAGGCTAAGGCAGGAGAATTGTTTGAACCCAGGAGGCGGAGGTTGCAGCAAGCCAAGATCACACCATTGCTCTCCAGGCTGGGAGACAGAAGGAGACTCTGTCTCAAAAATAATAAATAAATACATAAATACATAAATACATAAATAAATAAATAAATGTAAATAAATACAGTAAAAACAAGCAGATGAAATTAATTTCAATAATATACTTATTTAATACAATATATTATTTCAAAATGTAACCAATATAAAAATTGTTTAAAAGATAGCTCATATTCTGTTTTTTAATACCAAGTCTTCAAAATTCAATGTCTATCTTTAAGCACATTTCAATCCAGACTACATGTACATTTCAAGCGCTAAAGGGTCATATATGGATAATGGCGATTCTACTGGATGGTACATTTTTGAAGGATGGAGTAAAGAGAATGGAACAGTTATTAGACGGAAAACCCTGGGTCACTGAATGACTATGGAGAAATGTTCCTCATCACTGATCTACAATGAACAGTAATGTAAGAAATAAACCTTTGTCAAGTCTGAGATTTGCCAATTAAGATTTTGGAACAATGAGAACACTTGGACACAGGATGGGGAACATCACACACCAGGGCCTGTCGTGGGGTGGGGAAGGGGGGAGGGATAGCATTAGGAGATATACCTAATGTAAATGTAGAGTTAATGGGTGCAGCACACCAACATGGCACATGTATACATATGTAACAAACCTGCATGTTGTGCACATGTACCCTAGAACTTAATAATAAAAAACAAGATTTTTGGATTTGTGATTATCAGCCAGCGTCCTATGGAAGCTTAAATTATCATGCAGCAAATATTCACTACACTTCCTCTGCTTTCCCTTAACCTCCATAACCTCAACTTTCTTGCCTCACTGATATCGAGCCTGGGCAGGTGATTTGCTTTGGCCAATGGAGTGTTGACAGAAAAGACAGTGTGCTGATGCTAAGTGTAGGCTGGAAGACCAGTTCATGATTCTCATAAACTTTTTGAGCTTTTATCTTCTCCTTTAAAAAAAATGGATCAAAAAAAGAAAAAAAAACAAAATAAAAAATAAAATTAAGAAAAGCAAAAAATATAAATCAGATGACCTACTGGTCCCAGAAAAATGGGAAATACTTTGAGCATTCCTGAAATGAACCTATTGCCTGGAGTTCAGTTCAGCTGTGCAGTCTAGATCAGTTGAACATCAGCTCACCTGCTTATTGTTGCTTGCAACTGTGTTTTGAGGTGAATTGGTGTGCAATGTTATGGTGATAATAGCTGACTGATAGAACTACCCTAAAAGAGTTTTATTCCCCATGGAAGAACCATCTACCCTACTGCCAACCCACAATCCTATCTTCCTGTTGGTACTTTTCTATGGTACATCTCCTCTTCCATCCTTCTTTCCCTTTCACAGTCCTCTAACTCATGTTCTCCCATGTTATCAGCCAGTATTGGTGGGCTTTTTGTTTTATAATTATTTATATGTGTAATTTAGAGGTTAGCCAACTTCTTCTTACAACTTAAGATCTACATATGTAATCATCCTTTCAGTCATTCAATACTTACTTTCTAGGCACTGTTGTAATCTACAAGGATGCAATAGTGATTAAGAAAAACTATTTTCATGGCACTTACATTTTTTTGCGAGGAATAGACAACACACAAATAAAAAATGCAAAGAGTGTACTCTTACCACAAAGAAGAATACAGAAGACTAAGAGATTGGAGATGGGGGTTATTTCTATAGAAATGATTTCATAAACCCATTATTTTATATGTTGCATAAATATAAACCTCTCTAGAATCTTTGCCTATTGCTAGAAACTTACATTCTTATACTTCTCTGTGGCTTCCAACTACTTCCACTGAATTAGTTGATTTTAAGGATTATTTGTGTCATTCTATTTGTCTTGCATTTTTCTATCTTGTGTTTGCTGAATTAATGAACTTAGTATCACACAAACTATTCACACAAAGGCATTTGTGTGTATATGAGACTTTACTGAAGGTGTTAAGAATATAGAAGTATTTTCATTATGGTAACACAATTTAAAACTCAGTGTTAGTTCTTCCCAATCCTAAAAGTCTCAAAGTGAGACCCCCACCTCCTGCCATGATGTTTATTTGCATTTTCTGTCTTTATTCTTTTGTTCTACTTTCTGAATTCTCATTTTTTTCCTGTAGCAGAGCAACTGAGCTAGCTCCCTTATTTACCTGGCTCCCCTAGTTGGGGCCCCCAGAGTCTCATTTTTTTTTTTTCACTAAGTAGCTTACAAGTTATTTTTCTACACATGGCAACATTCAGGATTAGGGGTATTACATTATATGCTTAAGGTCACACAGCTACAATGTAATGGAGCTGAGATTTCAATCTAGCCTATCTCACTTTAAAACTAATGTTTGTAAAGTGAAAACAAATTTCATAGTCACTTCACTTAGCAAACATGTAAGTTTTTTCCTTTTAATAAATAAGCTCATTTGCTGCCTAGAATCTGCCCAATGGAAAGTAACTTAAACTAATTACTTCCATATAAACTCAGCCATTCTATGAGATAAGAATTTACATACAGATACACAATTGAGGTCTTAATTCTAAGGGTGGTCTTGTCTGTGGCTATCTTTTGTTCATTGATAGTATCCATTGGGTTACTGGTCACTTAGCCTGTTTGTTAGGCAATGGCCTCTGTAACATATCTATTGCTTATGTCCATTGTCTTTCAACAGTCACTGATGCTAACCTGATTCTTCATTATATTCTTGAGACTCTTCCAGTCACCCTGCTCTCTTTGTCACTTTCATGAGAAGAAAAGTAAATCTCACATGCTTTTGCCCAAACCAGACTAACATGTGGGACACTTGGAGATTCTTTCAGGGCCATCTACTTACACATCTTCTTCAGGCAGTGCTTCTTCAATGATCTGCCTTTTCCTTTCTCACCTTCAATTCCCGGGCTGATTTACATGTAAATTTATGCTCTCTAACCCAAGCTGAGCCCTTAGTACCACTTTCAATGCTTTGACTTGTCTTTGGTTCACTCCTTCTCCTATTGACTCACTGATTGTTGCAAGTATGCATCTCTCTCCTTACTTCTCTTGTTCCTAGTCTTACTAGATAGCATATCTTTCTTTTGAACAAAAATTGAAGATATCAATCAAAAACTTCCTCAACTTCTCTTTTTCTCTATTATTTCCTCAGAAGTGTCATAGGAACTGTATGCATTGACAAGGAAGAGTAAGATATGGTTCCTGAATTTATGGAATTAAAAACATATGCTCAAGTACAAAATGAGGGCTATATGCAGTACATGCTAAAGTTTGTAATGATAACAACAAAAATTTGTATAGAGTTATAGAAACCTTAACTACGTTATTTTTTTATGCGTACAACCACTTGGAAGATGAGTATAATTATTACCATCATTATAAAGATGAGTAAACTGAGGCTTAGAGATACAGTGTAATTTGACAAAGATGCCTATTAAAAAATAGCAGAATCAGGACTTGCAGTGGTGTCTGACTTGTAAAAAATAATAGACTCTCCTGTGAACCTATGTGCGATATTTTGCTAACATTTTGTTGACTCTGTTCTCTGCCTCCTGTCTTGGCCCAAATCTGGATGAATGTAAGTCCAGGCAAGCAATCCTAGCAGCAGGCTACAGATATTGCCTTGAACTTTATTCAAAGCAACAGTAACATGTATGTCTGTCTTTTCTCCACCCTGGATTTCTCATTTCTAGGGATCCTTTCCAAGCAGCAAAGTAGAAATAGATTAGATGGGACAACATGGATATATTATATATGAATTATTAACCCTACTTCTGACTAGTAGCAGGAGAAACAAAATGTCAGCAGAAGCTGGAAGCTTCTTCAAACACACAAGCTAAAATTAATCTTTTTTTCATACATAAGTCAGTTTTTTAAATGGCCTATTCCTTTGTCAGGGATACAAACTCTTTCCCAAATCTTCTCATGGTTGGAACCTACTTGTCCTTGTGAGGTTGTCTCACTTTTTACTTATTTTAATTGCATGCATTTTTAAAAATTTTATTCCCATTATCGTTAGGTGAGGTTCCCCTTTCACAAATATCTGAAAAAGGAATATGTTCAGTGCAGCTTTGATCAATATGTTTATATCTATCTAGTAGGAAATTCATTATATGCACAGCTACCATCACTCCCGTAGTTTAAAAAAAAACGCAACCCACTAAAAAGTACAGCCGGATTTCTCTCCTTATTTGACTCTATCTTCCCTAAAGTTTGTCTAAACTGAATGTCTCCGTCTGAATTTACTACATAACTCCTTCTAATTCTACCAGCTAACTTGATGCCTTCCTCTCATCTTCTCCCATAGATTATCCTTCTGATCAATATTTCCCACTTAGCATTCTTAGTCGAGCATAGTCTCAGATTGCATAAACCACCCTCTAATTGAAAGTTATACCCTTATGAGAGCTACATTTCTTATAGACCTGACAGCTTAGTATTTTGTGTTAAGATTTTTTGTTTTCACTTAGTAATAGAGGCTCGAGTGTTTTTCATCAGCTTCCAAAGTACTTACTTTTCAACTGGGGACTTTCTTATGAGAAGGGACAAGGACTATCTACTTCTTTCGAGTTTTTTGGAGGGTTTGAGTCACCTGTGAACTCCAGAACCAAAAATAATTTTCAAAAATGGAAAATATTCAGTTTGTTGTCACATCCTTTATTTATAGGAATAAGTTGCCATCCTAAAACTGCAGGTCTGCAAGGTCTCTTTAACCTTTCCACTTCAACGAAAACATATCCTGAGTAGCAGTTTCTGAAAACAGTATCTGTGCAATGACTACTGTAGAAAAAATAATTTTGGAAGAAGAAAGGAAGCAGGATATTATGCACACCCTCTGAATTCCTAAAACATCATTTAAAAATAGGAGTTCTTAGCCAGAGGAACCCTGTCTGCTTAGAGAGAGTCCTTGCACGTGTAGTAGTCAACTGGTGTAAAAACTAGATTTTCTTCTATGTCAAATTCTCTGCTATATGAAATTGTTTTGTGCAGTAAGAATGGACTCAGTGGTTTATTGGTTATAATGAAAGGCACAGCCTCGGGGAGCACCTCCTTAAGTTGAGGTGAAGTGAAGGGCTGACAGTTTTTACATGGAAAGTGAATATTATAAAGAATGCCAGAGAGCTCCTCAGGGCACTCTGCATGTACATTTTGCTTCAGATTACTTTCTTGTGGAAGCACAGTCTAAGCATTCTACTTTCTCAATTCTAGAAGCTCTGAACAGGGGGCAACCATGCTTTGCTCTACAAGTCAGTAATGTGTGTGTGTGTGTGTGTATGTGTGTGTGCATATGTGTGTTTTCATGTATGTACCATTTTTACTCTCATTGATTTGTGAGGCTTTGTGATGCGGGACACAAAAAGAAAACTTCAAATCTTTAATTATTCTGGCTTTCAGAGTCTTACACTTAGACCAAAGCAGAAGCTAAATTTGATAGTTCTCTGGTTAGAAGGATGGGTTGGTCCCCAAGGTATTAATATGATTTTCCTGATGCGTTTGATACTATATTGTATTTTTTGAGAATACTTGGCTTGGTATTCATTCATGTAGACACAGTTATCCTTCATGAAAGTTAGGCACAGGAATAAAAAAAGTGGTTTAGAGTATGTAGTGTGGAATTAAATCATTCAAATTAATCAGGGATAATAAAAGTTCAAACAGAAGAAAAAAGTGTAACATTCTTAAAGGGCATCTAGCATTCTTAAGACTTACCTGAACCAGTTGCGTAATCTGCCTAATTCACATTCATGAATTAGCAGACGAGGACTGGTAGAATACATAATTTGAAACTGGAGAGTCCTAAGCTGGAATATCAATTCTTCTATTTATCAATAAAAAGTTCTTGAACAAAGTAAGCAAACTTTCTGGGCACCACTGTCCTCATCTGTGGAAAGAGAAAAAATAATGAATATTTACTTGAGTTTTTGTATGAAATATTGTAATACCTTCAAAGTTCCAACTGCCTATCTCACAGCAGGTATTTAGAAATATTACTTATATCATCCACTGTCAGAAAAATCTAGTATTGCTTTGTTTTAGCATATCTATTGTAAAATTCTTAAGGGCTTATATTTTAATAAAGTTAAATTCTTAAAATTAACTTCTCTAAGAGGATATATAAATAGTCAAGTTAACATCATGCACCTAAATTTGAAGGTCTTCTAACACATCTTCCAAAAATAAACATCAAGTAAAGCAGAGGTTAGTAAATTGTTTTTCTGTAAAGGGATTAATAATTGAGGATTTTGGGCCATAGCGTCTCTGTCACAACTAATAAACTCTGCTGTTGTAGTGTGAAAGCAGCCATAATAATTAATAAACAAATTAGCATGTCTCTGTTCCAATAAAACTTTATTTGAGGCAGATAATGTGCCAGATTTGGCTTGGGAACAATAGTGCGCTGAACTCTAAAGCAGGAAAACAAATGTAACCACATAAATCTCATACATTGCATACAATTGTAAGTCAGAGAAATTACAGAGTTCATTAGTTGTGACAGAGACGCTATGGCCCAAAATCCTCAATTATTTATTGCTTTACTGAAAAACAATTTACTAACCTCTGCTTTACTTGATGTTTATTTTTGGAAGATGTGTTAGAAGACCTTCAAATTTAGGTGCATGATGTTAACTTGACTATTTATATATCCTCTTAGAAACTTCAAAATTGTATTAAGTAGAAAAAGTAAATATTAATTTTTACTGGAGGTACTTTTTACATATCCAATATAAGCCTTTGCAAGGTGGGTTGAGAAAAACTGTTGAAGAAAGAAGAGGGAAATAAAATACCTATAATTGAACTAAAATTAACCGTAGAAAGAAGAATTCAATTTATGAGAGGAGATGCTGAAAAAAGGTTCTAGTAAATTTGAGCACTGACTATAAGTTACTTGAAGATGAGGGAGGCCTCTAGGAGGCAATCTTAGAAAGGCAACACGTAGAGAAGAGGAGAGTAAAAAGGAGAGAAAAGTCTTCCTCTGAAAACTGCATCCTAAAGAGAAAAAGAACAAGTGATAAATGGATGATCCTACAAGAAAAAATAAAAATTCAAATAATTGGAGGCCATAACACTCCATTCCTTCTTCTCTGCTGAAACAGCCATCTATTAAAGAAACTACATGTTGTAACACTGACAGAAAAGTGGTCTTAAACTAGGCATTTTAAAAACTACCCAACTGTCAGCCTGCTCACAGAAATTCAGAAGTACAACCAGTCTCACATATGCAGTTGTCTTAGTTTCTGTTGTTCATAGCAGAATACCTGACACTGGGTATTTTTTTTTTTAAAGGAATTTATTTCTTACAGTTATGGAGGGGGAGATGCTCATGGTTTAGTAGCCACATCTGGTAAGGGCCTTCTTGCCAGTGGAAACTCTATAGAGTCCTTAGGCGACACAGGACATCACATGGTGAGGGGGCTGGGTGTGCTCACTCAATTCTCTCTTCCTCTTCTTATAAAGCCTCTGTTCCCACTCCTGTGATAACCCATTAATGCATTAACTCGTTCATGAGGACCCTCATGACTCAATTTCCTCTTAAAGTTTCCACTTCTACATACTGCCACATTGGGGATTAAATTTCAACATGAGTTTTGGAGGAGACAAACATTCAAACCATAGCAACAGCATAAGAAAAAGCAAATACAACATTTAAATATAAGTTTTTCAGGTGAAGAAAATGCCATTCCTCCACTCTGGATCAACCAGAAGGGAGAAGAAAATTGTAATGCATAGTTCCATACTGAAGCATACATCCTTAAACAAACACATAAAGAAAGATCTTGTATCAGATATTCAAAATCTATGTACAAAAAATGAACACAAACAACAAAAAGAAATGAATTGAGAATGGATTGAATTCAGGAAAAAATAAAAAGAGGTTAAATCATATCAGAAGTAAAGACTGATTTACAAGATCAATCTTGCAAATCAAGAATAGAATAGATGCAAATAAAAACTAAGATATTCTAAAGAAATTCAGAAAATGATAATGAAAAAGTAAAAAGGGTCAGAGATAAAGTTTTTAAATTAACACAGGCAAGGATGAATCAACATAATTGTAACTGGAATCCCTGAAGATGGAAAATTCAACACTGAAAAATAAATAATATTTACAACTCTAATACAAGAAACGTTTTCTGAAGTAAAATGAGATCCATGTCTATGTATTAAAAGGAACTGGCTGGGCGTGGTGGCTCATGCCTGTAATGCCAGCACTTTGTGAGGCCAAGATGGGCAGATCATTTGAGGTCAGGAGTTCGAGACCAGCCTGGCCAACATGGTGAAACCCGTCTCTACTAAAAACACAAAAATTAGCTGGGTGTGGTGGCAGGTGCCTGTATTCCCAGCTACTTGGGAGAGTGAGGCAGGAGAATCTCTTAAACCCAGGAGGCGGAGGTTCCAGTGAGCTGAGATGGCACCATTGCACTCCAGCCTGGGCAACAAGAGTGAAACTCCATCTCAAAAAAAAAAAAACAAACAAAAAAAAAAACAAACTACCAGGTACTTGGTAGAATTGTCCCCAAATTATTAACCCTGATACATATTTTAGTAAAACAATTAGTTATAAACGTAAAGAAAAATACTCATGGCCTCAGGAAAAGCAAAATATAAATCAAAGTATCAAAGGAATATCATTTTCAAGGAAAATCAAAAAAAGAAAGTATGAGCCAAAGATTTTATATCCATTTAAGTTGTCTCTTAAGCTATATAAAAATAGTTTTAAACATGTAATAACTTGAGGCATATTGTATTCTTGATTTTCCTTTGGGCAAACTTTGAGAGAATAAACTTCATCCAACCAAAAAACAAATAAAAGAAAATTCCAGCAAAAGAAATGACTTAGTTTTAAATATAAGTAAGATTAAGAAAGGTGAGGATGAGGTTGAAGTAAATATGTCAATATGTCATATGTAAATATTATATGCTTTTAGAAAGGAAAAATAATGTAGCTAATAGAAGAAAAGAAAGAGGCAAGGAATAAGTAGAATAAGCTCATTGATTATAATATAAGCAATATATACAATCAAGAAGCTCATTGATAAGTATATAAGCAGTTTAATGGAAATCAAAGAGTACCGCTAAAACAAACTAACAAACCAGAGAGTAAAGATTAAATAAGAAATAGAATTCCACAAATATTTAACAATTGTGTAAGTATAAAATATAAATATTTCTAAATTCTAAAAGAAATAAACAAAAATAAGAGAAACACATGATACATATAAAAATCATGGAAACTAAACATAGTACACATAATATTTGTAACACTAAATGATCACTCATATCAATAAATGTAAATAGGTTTAACCAGATATCAAGTGATTTTAAATTTGACTCATAAAGCAGACCCAACTATATGCTTCATAAAAGAGAGAAACCTAAAATAAAATTATTTATAAAGCATGTTATAAAGGAAGGAGCAAAGATTTCCAGACAAATGGAAGCAATAAAAAAAGGCCCAGCAGATTGCAATATTGATGTCAATAAAGTAAAATTCAAGAGAAGAAAAGTATTAAACATTAAAATTAAGGGTAGTTATAAATTCTGATAACCATAAATCATAATGAAGATATAACTGTTATGGATATTTACGCACAAAATCACACAGAATCTACCTTTTTAAAACAAGAGTGTAATTAGACACAGCTAGAAAAAAACTAATAAAGGCAAACTTTAAGACACCAAACCTAAGTACCAGGCAGATCAAGAAACAAAAATATAAGTAAGATACATATGACCTAAACAAAGTATAAATAAGTTAAATCTTAAGGAAATATATCTACTGATACTGATACTGATATCAGAGAATCCAATTTCTTTTCAAGTGCACATTGGACATTTACAAAATCAATTCTGCATTTGAAGTCACAAAGAGAGTATCAGAAAGTTTTGTAAATATAACAACACTCACTGGTCACAATGAATAAGCTAAAATTCAATCACAAAATAAAAATACCCTTTCACCTAAATATTGAAAATTACTTCTATCAACAACACTTAGAAAAATATTATAGGTTTGAATACTTACTAAGATTAAAGGATGAAAATAAACCTATTAAGTTCCCAACTCACGAAGTTATACACAGAATAATAAATGAAACGTTAAGACAGAAAATAATAAAGATAAAAGCACAAATTAACAATGTAGAAATATGAAAGTCAGTTTATCTAATTAATAAATCAAATCTTGATTTTTTAGGAAAAATTAACAAAATAAGCTAGTTAACTTATTCAATTTCCCAAAATGGGAGAAGTCCCAAATATGCAATACAAGACAATGACAAGGATGAAGTAAGTAGTCATAGGAACTGAAGAAATTTTAAAATAATCAAAAGACTATGCTGTTGACATTTATGCAACTATATTTGAAGACGTAGATGAAATAAATGACTTCCTAGAGAAATACCCTGTATTAATTTATTGAACCTATTAGAAATAGAAAGTTTAAATAAACCAATTTTCATATAAAACATAACAAGAAACAACTTTGTTATCAAGAAACAACCTCACAAGGGAAGTTTACAAAATATTTAAAGTCCAGATAGTCCTAATACTACATAGATTGTTTCAGAGCATAAGAAATCAAGGAAAATGTTCAAATTCTTTTTATGAATCAAATGTAACATTAATACCTAAATATGGTGAAGACAGTAGAAAAAATAAAATTACTGATCAATGTAATGTATAAACATCAATGCAAAAATGCTAAATAAAATATTAGCCATCAGAATCCAATACCACAATAAGAAAATAAAATACATTATGACCCAGTAGGGTTAATTCCAGGAATGCATGTTTGGTTAATATTTGAGTATCTATCAGTGCAATATATCATATTAACAGATCTAAGGAGAAAAACAAAACTGATGAATACTTTCTTAAAACAAATATATATATTATATATTTGTATTTATACATATTTATATATTTATATATAAATATAAATATATAGATATATATTTATATATTTATATTTATATAGATATATATAGCGATATAGATATATATGTATCTAGAGGCATATTCACCTCAAGGTCATCAAGGCAAAGATGCTAATTACATTCAATAATATTTAACATTATACTGAAGGTATTATCAAATGAAATTAGAGAAGTGAAACCTATTAGAGTTGTAATAATTGGATAAGAATTAACAGTGTCTCTATTTGCAGATGATATAATAGTATACCTGTGAAATGCTAGAGACTCAATGAGCAAACTTAATAAAATAATTCAGTAAGATAGCAGGTATAGGATTAACCTGTAGAAATCAATGACCTTGCTTTACAAACAATAAGCAGGTAGGGGACATAATAATAGAGAGGCTCTATTTACAATAGTAGCAAAGGAGATGGAGTAATGGGGATGAACTTAACAAGGAGTATGCCAAACCTATATGAGAAAATCTTTATAACATCTTAAAAGATACAAAAGTAGACTTAAACAAATGGAAAGATTGGTTGTTGTTGTTGTTGTTGATTATTTGTTTATTTGTTTAATAGTAATAGGGCTTGTTATGTTGCCCAGACTGGTCTGGAACTCCTGGCCTCAGGTGATCCATCCACTTCAGCCTCTTGAGTAGCTGGGACTACAGGTGCATACCACCACGCCCGGCTAATTTTCTATATATATATTTTTTGTAGAGATAGGGTCTCACTGTGTTGTCTAGGCTAGTCTTGAACTCCTGGGCTCAGACGATCCTCCTGCCTCAGCTGGAAAGACGGTTTTTATTTTCAAACAGAATCTGTTACTATAATGCAGATGTCAGTTCCCTCGAAATTAATTTATAGATTTAAAGCAATCTCAATAAAAATAGCAAATTTTTATGAAGTTAGGAAAATTGATACGAAAGCTACTATTGAAAAATAAATATTGCAAGAATAGCTGAAAAACACTGAAAAAGAAAAACTACAAGAGCCCTGCCAAATATTAAAATATGCTGTAACCCCCTTGTTAAAACAATGTGAAACTGGTACCTAAATGAATAGACATGTCAGGGAAATGGAATGGGAAGTACAGAAAGACACAGAAGTCACATGGATATTTGGTTTATGATGAAGGTGAGATCTCAAATTACTTGACAAAGATGGACTTTTAAATAAATGCTTCTGGGACTATTGCATAGACAATAGACATTGAGAAAAAAACTAGTAAAATGAAAACTTTATATTCAGTTTACATAAGCATTAACTTATGCTTATGTGGATAAGGGATATGGATAAGGGATGTAATGTAAAATAATAAAAGCATGTAAGTACTATAAGAAAATGGGAATAAATTCCTGCATAACCTTGGTGTAGGCAAAGACTTTCTAACTATGCCTCAAAATTCAGATTCAGGAAAAACAATGACTACATTTAACTATATACAAATAAAAAAGGGTTGTATGACAAATCAAAGTTAAATGACAAAATAAAATAATGTGTTAATAATATATATCTCAAGTATTATAAAAGAAAGTGATTCCTAATTTATAAAGGACCCTTAAAAACTGAGAACAAAAAGACCTTATAGAAACCTGGCAGAAGACATGAACAGACAATTAATGAAGAATATATTAAAATGGTTCTTAAATATAAAAAAGATATTTAATTTCACTTATGATAAAAAAATCAAAATTAAAATAATGTTTCTCTACTATCAAATTGGTAACAGTTTATAAACTCTGCTGGGATTATCCCTTCGTTGGCTACAGCCTGGAAATTCTCCCAATGCAGTAAACTGGGGGTAATTGTAGATGTCACTTCATTTGTTTCACGTATCTCAGGGGTTACTGTTCTTTACCTTCCAATATTTAATGTTTTGAAAGCCATTTTTTCTTGTATTTTGTCTGTTAGTTTTAATAGGAAGTGTAAATCTAGCCCAGCTACTTCATTTTTTCTGATTTGAGCCACAGCCTATTCATTTTTTTTTTTTTTTTTTTTGAGACGGAGTCTCACTCTGTCGCCCAGGCTGGAGTGCAGTGGCGTGATCTGGGCTCACTGCAAGCTCCGCCTCTGGGTTCACGCCATTCTCCTGCCTCAGCCTCCAGAGTGGCTGGGACTATAGGCGCCCGCCACTACGCCCGGCTAATTTTTTGTATTTTTTAGTAGAGACCGGGTTTCACCGTGTTAGCCAGGATGGTCTTGATCTCCTGACCTCGTGATCCACCCGCCTCGGCCTCCCAACATGCTGGGATTACGGGTATGAGCCACAGCGCCCGGCCGAGCCACAGCCTATTCTTAACCTGTAGATATTTACAAGTCAGCAAATGTCCTGAGAGGAAAAATCAGCTTAAATATGTCAAGCTCACCTTTAACAAGAATTTTCTTCTTTCTAGGACCTTGGCACTTAATGTCCTAGCTGCCTTGGTTGCTTGCTGATGGTTTTAAACAGCTTTTTGTTTTATTTATCAGATGACATGGTTTGGCTCTGTGTCCCCACGCAAATCTCATCTCAAATTGTAATCCCCACATGTGAAAGGAAGGGCCTGGTGGGAGATGATTGAATCATGGGAGCAGACTTCCACCTTACTGTTCTGAAAGTGAGTGAGTTCTCAGAGGATCTGGTTGTTTGAAAGTGTGCGGCACTTCCGCCTTTGCTCTCGCTCTCTCTTCTGCTCCACCATGGTAAGATGTGCTTGCTTCCCCTTCATCTTTCATCATGATTGTAAGTTTCCTGAGGCCTCCCAGTCATGCTTCCTGTTAAGCCTGCAGAACAGTGAGTGAATTAAACCTCTTTTCTTCATAAATTACCAGTCTCAGGTAGTTCCTTATGGCAGTGTGAGAATGGACTAATATATCTGATACTATAGTTCTTCTGAGCAGGATTGGTCTGATAGATGCGTTTTCATTATAGGCAGAGGCAAAAGACTCAACCAATATCTCTTTCTAATATGGCTCTTGCCTCATCCTTTCTAGTCTTTTCTTTCTAGAACTCTGATTAGATATATTGGATATTCTCATTTTTCCTCCATGTATCTTAATGTCTCTTTCATATATATCATCTTGCCCCCTTTCTGTGTTGAAATCTTTATTTTTCATGATCTATTATTTAATTTATGATTTCTATCTTTAGCTGGTTAACTTGTCTATTGTTTTGTAAATTTCAATTAACATAATTCGTTATTTCCAGGGTTTCTATTTAGTCCTTTTTCAAGTTTGTTTGGGTCATGTTTGATAGTCTCTTATTTCTTTTGTGATACTTTAGTTTCTTTTACCTCTTGAAACATATTCTATATATTGTATTTGATAATTCAGTTATTTTTAGATTTTGTGACTTTGATTCTTCAGTTTATTATATAATTTATTATTCAGTTTATGCAGAATCCTTTTCATAATTATTTATTTCCTTGGTGTTTTTGATTTTCATTCACCATTAGAAAATTTCCTGGGAATTTCACCTGTGGGAATTCCTTGACCTATTTATAAAGTGCATTATGTCATAGGGGATTTGCATTTCCTTTCACTTGGTTGTAGCTGTATGACCAATGAGGGTGACTTTAAAATTATACTTTTAACCTTTTGAGGGAAGAGGCACCCCACAAGTTGTATGAGTTCAAGTTAAAAAATTCAATTATTGCTGGTTAGGAATTATAGGGGAGATTTTTCTCCTCTCTATCCAAAAACTAAAACTGAAGAGAAACTTTCCTGAATTTTTAACTGTGATCTTTTATCTTATCATCTGATCATGTCTCTCTTCTGGGAATTTTTGTTTCATTGAGGGTTACTAGTCCAACCTTCTACATTGATTGGGCACCAACTTTTTTCTCTTGTTCCTGATAGTATGCGTGGCTGGCCAGTTAATACCCAGGCTCCTGAGTACTCAGGATATGATGTTCCAAACCCCCTGAAAGAACAAAGGCCACAGAGCTCATCTATATTAATGCATTATGATCTTTTGATACTTTGGGCCTTAGTTTCCCTTTTACTGACAGCTCACACAATTATTAAAAATGTAATTTAAATGTCAATAGTCATTGTTAAGAGTGTAACTTAAATTTGTGTACTAGAAGGGTTTCTATTGCATATCTAGTCTACTGTCTAGTCTCCAATATTACTGGAAACTGGTCTTTCCAATCTACAGTGTCATAGTGTAATCAGGTTATATACTTAACAGTAAATATTATAAGGTCTCACGTGTTTAAAACATTTGCTTCTTTGTAAATGTCTTCAAGATGAAGGACATATTCCTTATCAAGGCACCTGATCTCCTTCATGATTTGATACTTACTTAGTATTCTTTGTTCTGTTGAAATACTTGCATTGTTTTCCCCATACAATGTATGTCTTGACTCAATGCCTTTACTTGGTTCACTCTCAGCCAGAGGTTTAGTTCAATTTTTGTTGACTTGCCTAACCAATACCCATCCTCAGGCCTGAGGTGATGCTTTGAATAAAAATGCTTTTCTGGGGAAGCATTCTTTGATCTGCCACTCCCTTCCCTCATATGCATCATATTCCATCAGCCCTCTGACTCCATCTGGTCTGTAAGTTGTAGCGTTTGTCATACTGAAAACATTTTGAGGTCATAGACTTCCTTATTTATCTCTTCATCCATGGTGCCTATTATGGCACTTTCCAATAACAAATCCAATAAATGTTGGATGAATGAATATCCTTGTTAAAAATGCTATTACATAATCCAGAAGCTTTAATTGTTGTTTCTTTTTTCACCATCAGTTTTTACAGAGAGCATGTAAATAAAACTTTATACTTTAGTGGTTTGAGGAGGTATAATAGCCCCCTCTTATTGGCAGAGGATATGTTCCAAGACCTCCAGTGGATGCCTGAAACCACAGATAATACCAAACTATATATATATATATATATATATATATATATATATATATATATATATATATACACACACACACACACACACACACACACACATATATATACACACACACATATATATATATATACACACACATATATATATATATACACTATGTTTTTTTTTCTATAGACACATGCCTATGTTAAAATTTGTTTATAAATTAGGTATAGTAAGAGATTGACAACGAGAATAATAGAATAGAATAATTATAGTGACATGCTGTAATAAAAGCTTTGTGAATCTAGTCTCTCTCTCTCTCTCTCAAAATATCTTAATATGTTTGGACCATGGTTGGTCACAAGCAACTGAACCCACAGAAGCAAAACAGAAGATAAGGGGAAATTACTGTATTTTCATAAAATGCTTTCACACACATCATCTCATATGTTAAAGATGACATAGCCTGAATTTTAAAGGTTTATTAGGATTCCAAGTCCAGGTTTAGCTCTGCACTACACCTGTCAGCCCATGAAAATTGTGTAACCCTTAGCTTTATTAATGCCAATGTGTTAACAATAGTGTAATGCTGCTGTTTGCTAATATGATGAATATTTCTAAACTTTTTCAATTTTCTTCATTGAACCTTTTATTTTGTAATTGCAAAAAGTTTTGGCCTAGTCAAAATGAAATTTCATAGTTTTCTGTGGTGCAGTTTAAATGCTGACAAAATCAATTTGATATTAATATTTTTCTCTTTGAGGATGGTCATTTTCCCAGGGCTCTGAAGAAATCAAGAGATTTGATTATCAAAGCTTTTCTCTTGATATTTATGGAGCAAAGTTCAAAATTTAGAAAAGAAATGTCAGATTAAAAGACTGAGGATATAAGGACATTTTATTAGGTAAAGATGCACATTTTGAATATTATTTAAATATACAGCACCTAAATGGAGTGGGGTGTTTGATCTCCTTGAGAACTAGCTATGGTAGTGAACAAGGGGATTCATGAAATTCAGATAGGAAATATGCAATAAACATGGATATCAAAGCCTACTCAAGCTTATCTCGGGAAAAATGTAGCAGAGGTCTTTAAGGTCATGACTGAGCTCAGAGTGGCTAATTAAAAAAAAATTGAAGTGAAATTCACATAACATACAATTACCCCTTTTAAAGCCTGCAATTCAGTGGCATTTAGTACACACATTCAGTTTTGTGAAACCACTACCTCTCTCCAGTTTCAAAAGTTTTCCATCACCTCAGAATACCCTTACCCTCTACTCAATAACAATCACTCTTTATTTTCTCCTACTCTCATCCCCCGGAACCTACTAATTCTGTTCTAGCTGTAAGGAATTGCCTATTCTTGTCAGTTCCCATAAAAAAGAATAATAAAATATGTGATCTTTTATGTCTGGCTTCTTTTATTTAGGATAATATTTCAAGGTTCATGCAAGTTGTAGCATATATCGGTACTGAATTCCTTTTGATGATTGAATAATATTACATTGTGTTTATATACCATAGTTGGCTTATCCACTCTTCTGTTGATGAACATTTGTTTTTTTTCTACCTTTTGACTATTGCAAATAGAGCTGCTATGAAGAATCAGAAATAAGTACTTATTAGAGTACCCAGTTTTGATTCTTTGAGGTATATACCTGGGACTGGAACTGCTCGGTCATATTGAAATTCTCTGTTTAACCTTTTAAAGAACCATCAAATTATTTTCCACAGTGGCTGTGCTATTTAACATTCCCATGAGAAATGTATGTAGATTCTTATTTTTCCATATCCTCAGCAACACATGTTATTTTTCTATTTTTTTTGTTACAGCCATCCTAGTGAGTGTGAAATAACATGTCATTGTGATTTTGATTTGCATTTTCTTAATGACCAATGATGTTGAACATCTTTTCATATGCTTGTTAGCCATTTATATATCTTCTTTAGAGATATGTCTATTCAAGTAATTCGCCCTTTATTTGATCGGGATGTTGGCTTTATTGTTGATGAGTTTAAGTTTGCTTTCTATATTCTAGATAGTAAACCTTATCAGATATATGATTTGCAAATATTTTCTCCAATTCTATAGATTGTCTTTTCACTTTCTGGATAATGTCCTCTGATACACATGTTTTTATTTTTAGGAATAACATTTATTTTTTCTTTTGTTGCTAGTGCTTTTAGTGTCAAATCTCAGAATTTATTGCCAAGTCCAAACTTGTGAAGATTTGCCCTTATGTTTTCTTGTAATAGGTTTATAATTTTAACTCTTAATTTTAGGTCTGTGATTTATTTTGAATTAATTTTTTTTTACATGGCATGAAGTAGGAGCCTAGGTTCATTCATTATTTTATACATTGTTTTCCAATTGTACCAGTACAATTTGTTGAAGATACTATGCTTTTTCTATGAAATGGAGTTGGCACCCTTGTTAAAAATGAGTTGGCCATAAATGTATGAGGTGGGGGTTATTTGGTTCTCAGTTCTACTTCATAGGTTTTTAAGTTTATCCCTATGTCAAGACTATATTGTATAGATGATGCTTTGTTTCCATTTGGGGTATCTGAATGATTATCTTCTCAAAGAAAAATAACTTTGCCCTTCCTTCTACTATCAAATGACAGAAAAGGGGTGTAACAGCATATCCTTGCCATTCCTAATTCTAATACCAGCCAATTACCTATGACAAGAAATGGAAAAAGATGGTGATCACATCCATAAAATCAAATTGGAGTATTATGATATAGTAGAAAAGAAGCGGACTTTGGAATTCAACCTGTCCAGGCTGGAGTCCCAGTTATAGCTAAAATATATTGGGCTTATACTTTTAACCTTTCTGAACCTTAATCTATACTTCTGTTAAATGTGGATGAAAATACCAATCCTATAGTATTTTTGTAATGAGGAGGCATGACATATGTAAATTTCCCCCAGTTCAGTGCCAGACACAATTTGTTATAGAATAAAAAGTTATCAATAATAGTCTTTTTTTTTTTTTTTTTTTTTTTTTTTTAGAGAGAGAACCATATGTAGAGAACTATCTTAAACTTTGAAAAACGGTCTTCTGCAGACTTTAGAAAAGCATTCTATCTTCCCATTTCAAAGTATGCTTCCTAGGAAAATGGCATCTTACTTATTAACCATTATATCTGGCTTTGGAAGTCAGGAGTTAGTGTCTTTTCATTCAGATGCCAAGAGTATGTGCGTGTGTGTGTGTGAGTGTGTGTATCTCTATGAATATATATCCACTCTGTTTGCTTTTGTTTTATATGCTGAGTCTGTAATCCTTACTGTCAGGCACCTTTATTAATATGCGGTGTAAATGCGTCTGAGATCTGTGAAAGAATCCACAAAAAATAAACACAGGTAATGCTATTGCCGGCAATTGAATGAATGAGGGTCTTCTGACTACCATCCCCTGAGTGTACAGTTCTCAGATTTATAACGAAGCCACTTTTTAATATAATTGAATTGTAGATAAGAGAACTTAGAGCCAATTTTATTTCTTTGCAAGAAAATACTTGATTTACATCACACCTCTGGCACTGGAATCTGATCTCTGCAGAAAGCTAGAGATTTGTACACAGTTATACCTGGGTTCAAGTCCACATGCCACCACTGACTAGCTGCATAATCTGGAGTTACTTCACTTCTTGAAACCTTGGTGTTTCATAGGTTAAAGAGAAAGAATACCTCATAGGGCTCTTTGTGAGAATAAAATGCAATTGTTGAAGTGAAACTGCTTTTTGAACCATAAAGCACCACACACATGTGAGCTCTCATTATCATTAATATTTATCACCATTTACGAAATTGTGGAATCTTAAATTAGGAAGATACCTTACAAGCTACTTTGCCAATTAACCAGTTAAGGATTTGCTTCACTAAAAAGTTTGCCCTATTGCTTTGTTGATCTTGCAATGGATCCTTAGATGTGGTACTATTGTAGTGTAAAGTGACATATCCAGTTAAAAATATGACTCACTCAAAACAGGCGACACTCTTCTCAGTGGTCTAAGGTAGTAATGTTTTCCATGTTCACAGGCAGTTCAAATGCCTTTGGTGAATCCAAAAAGGAACTTCTGCTTTAGATTGCTTCTTCAACAGTCCAGGGCCATGCCGTCTCTGAGTGTGCAGATAATGCTGGTTGATGCTAATGGTAACTTGGCCAATTTCTTCTTCCCTAGGTTTCTATTCTCATCCTTAGCCGAGAGAGACTTACACAATTTTGAACATAGGGAATATAGCGGCAGGGCATCTTCAAAACAGAACCTTAAATACTGTAATAATAACTTTAAAGAACGTATTAGGCTAGTTACTCCGTGATGTGGTTTGACTCTGTGTCCTTACCCAAATATCATCTTGAATTGTAGTTCCTATAATCCCCACATGTCGTAGGAGGCACCCAGTGGGAGGTAATTGAATCATGGGGGCGGCTACCCCCATGCTGTCCTCCTGATAGTGAGTTCTCACGAGATCTGATGGTTTATAAGGGGCTTTTCCTTCTTTGCTTGGCACTTCTCCTTTGTCCTGCCATGTGAAGATGTGTTTGCTTCCCAGTCCACCATGATTATAAGTTTCCCGAGGCCTCCACAGCCCTCTGGAACTGTGAGTCGATTAAACCTCTCTCTTTTTTTTTTTTTTTTTTTTTTTTTTAAGATGGAGTCTCGCCCTGTTGCCCAGCCTGGAGTGCAGTGGCTCGATCTCGACTCACTGCAAGCTCCACCTCCCGGGTTCAAGCGATTCTCCTGCCTCAGCCTCCCGAGTAGCTGGGACTACAGGCACCTGCCACCAAGCCCAGCTAATTGTTTGTATTTTTAGTAGAGATGGGGTTTTACCATGTTAGCCAGGATGGTCTCAATCTCCTGACTTCGTGATCTGCCCACCTCGGCCTCCCAAAGAGTTGAGATTACAGGTGTGAACCACCGTGCCTGGCATTTTTTAAAAAAAATAAATTACCCAGTCTTGGGTATGTCCTTATAGCAGCATAAGAATGGACTAATACACTCTATCACCGTGGTCTGATTTTAGATATTTTGCTCAACTTTAATTTATACAATATCTGAGGTCAATGGGAAGATGCTGTTTGTAAATCTAATTTATTCATTTTATTCTTCCATCTCCAGAAACATTCTCATCTTCACTGAAGTAGTAGTATATTTTTCACAAGCATAATTAAGAACTATGTCAGAAAGTGTGCAATTTCAGGATTGCAAGACAAATCGCATTTGTTTTCTCAAATCCTTGATAATAAAACAATGAAAATATGAAATAATGACATATAATGACTAGAATACGTAATATTTTATGATGCTTTTCTATGTTGTACAGTTGTGTGCTTGCACACAGCATTCACTCTCCATTCTTCTGGTAATGCCACCATAATGTTTTTTGGAGAATTATCCTTTCTTCACTCCTAGTCCATATAATTTGGGGGTGTTGGCACCACTCCATTTACTACTTCAACAGTAACTTATTTATTTTTAATATACTTTTTATTTTGAGATAATTATAAATTTACAACCAGTTATAAGAAATCATACTGAGAGATCACATAAATGCTTTATCCAATTTCCTCCAGTAATAAAATTTTGCAAAACCATAGTATAATATAACGATCAGAATACTGTGCTCGGTACCCTCAAGATACAGGACATTCCCATCACAACAAAAATCCCTTTTATAGCCACACCCACTTCTTTCCTGCCCTCATGTCCTCCTTAACTCTATTAACCACTAATATGCTCTCCACTTCTCTAATTTTGTCATTTCAATAAAACTATATAAGTGAGATCATACAGTATCTAAACTTTTGAGACCTTTTTCACTCAGCATAATTCTCGGAGATTCATTCAAATTGTTGTGTGTATTAATAGCTTGTTTCTTCTTGTTTCTGTGTAGTATTCCATAGCACAGGTGTACTGCATTTTGTTTAACTGTTCACCTACAGAAGGACATCTGGGTTGTTTCCAGTTTTTGGCTATTACAAATAAAGCTGATAAAAACATTTCTGTACAGTATTTTTGTGTGTGTGAACATACATTTTTATTTCTCTGGAAGTACAATTGTTGGTTTGTATACTAGTTACATGTTTAGTTTTGAAAGAAATAGCCAAACTATTTTCTGGAGTGGCTGTACCATTTTATATTATAACCAGTAGTGTATGAATGGTCTAGTTTCTCAGCATCCTCCTAATATATGATGTGGGTACTATTTTTTATTTTAGTCATTCTGATGGGATTGTAGTGATACCTCCTATTGGTTTTACTTTTTTAACTTTATTATTTACTATAATTTGTTTATTATTATTATTTTTGAGACAGGGTGTCATTGCCACCCAGGCTGGAGTGCAGTGGCGCCATCTCGGCTCACTGCAACCTCCGCCTCCTAGGTTGAAGCGATTCTCCCACCTTGGCCACTCGAGTAGCTGGAACTACAGGTTCATGCCACCATGACTGGCTAATTTTTGTATTTTTAGTAGAGACAGGGTTTCACCACATTGGCCAGGCTGGTCTTGAAGTCCTGACCTTGTGATCCACCTGCCTCAGCATCTCAAAGTGCTGGGATTACAGGCCTGAGCCACTGCACCTGACCCAATTATCTCTTTCAAATATTTCTTTGTACGTGCTAGAAATAAGAAGTCCAATTCACTGTGATGGGAAATGTCAGAGAGGTTGTGTGTATTGGAGGAGCAACAGGAGGGATCTAGGAAATTTCTGTATCTTATGCTTAATTTTACTGTGAACTTAAACCTGTCTAAAAATAAAATCTAGTCTTAAAAAAAGAATGTGTATTTGCTGTTGTTAATGAAGTGTTGTATAAATATCAATTAGATCAAGTGACAGGAGTGACAACTTCAAAACTCTTTGTATGTTTCAGCTGAAATTGACTAGTTTTAAAAAAGTTCATGGTATTTTTCTACTGTACACCTATTTTAAGGTGTAGCTATTCAGGGGTATCAACTGAAAGTCTGAGGTGTTTACTGGGTTTCTTCACCATAGTAGATTTTGAACTCCAACATCTGTCTTCCCAGTTTTATAAGACTTCTGAAAGATTACCTTAATTTCTTGGCCTATTAACTTCTACTTGTGAATTGGCAAATAACTTGAAAAAAATGATGTCAAATATAGGTCTTACCTCTTTGTCTTTCTCTTCTCTATGGGATCTTGGCCACTGAAGATGCTTAGAAAACTCTCTGGGGTGTGTGCGTATGTGTGAAAATATTAAATTTTCAATCAATATTTTTCCAGTCCTCATAGTTTTCCTTGGTAGTTGAATTGGTCTGATACAAGATTATCTGCCATAGCCGGAACTGCAAACTTTTAACAGTTATATACTGAGCACTTCTTAACTGTCAGGTATGATTCTAGAATCTCTGTGCTAGCCCTAATAGAGCGTACATTCAAATGACTCAGTCAGCCTAAGGAAGGAATATCAGTGAAGCTCAGCCAATCCAAATAATGTCTAATTGGTAACTGGTTATTTCAGCAATAGGCTTATGCAAAATGCCAAGCCAATTAGACCTGTGGAGACTCAGTTACAAAGATTTGTAAGGATTGTTTGAAAGGATTGTTGTTAAGAAGAATTTTTTTTTTCTATAGGACTTAGTTTTGAGAGAATGTAAGCCTGAAGATGCTTGGAAGCAAGAGAGATGAGAGACAATTTTTTTGTTTCTTTCAATAGGCAAGACATGGAATCAGCATAGAAAAAAGCAGGACTGAATGAAGAGTCACCATTTTGATTAGATTGTTTAAATTTCCAGCATTAATTCTGTATGTATCAGCTGTGTGAATTATACTGGTTTTGCTTAAGCTCCTCTGATTTGGGTTGTAATTTAAAACCTCATTAATACACATTGTAAATTAGCAAAATCAGTGAACAATTTTTGGTACTTATTTTGCTTGAATTTTCTTTGCATTTGGATTTGTTTGACCTCTTTTTCGTGAATATTTCTTTTCTTTTGGCTTTTATGATACCTCTACCTATTGGTAATTCTTCTAAAGTTCACATTAGCTTAACTCAGACTTCTCAGGTTTTTTTTTTCTCTCTCTTTCTTCCTTTAACACTGGCATTTCTCATGATTAGATCCTTAGTCTTTGGTCTCATCATACTTAAATGAACATTTTTACATGTCTTAACTAAATATCAACCAGAATTTATCCATCTTGACTCACTGATTCTACCTCTTAAGCATCTTTTATGCACATCCCCTGATTACAGTTAACCCTGCTCCTCTGTATTAATTCAGGCTTTCATAAAGTCTCACTTGCACTATTAGCATTTACCTCTTATCTTTCTCATTCCAGTCTCATCATTTTATTATATGATCACCAGAGTGGCAGAGCTTTATTGAAAAACTGACCATGTCATTTCCTTACACCATGCATAAGGAAAGTCAACAGTGCCCAGGATATGGGCATAACTGATTTTTTTGTCTTCATCTGTTGACCTTCCTTTACACCCTTTGCTGTTGTCAGAAAAGCTTGCCTGGAGTTCCCTGAAAAAATTAAGCTTTCTTATGGGTTGGTTTCATTGCATCTGCTTTCCCCTTTAAAATGTATTTTTCTGTGTGTCAGTCGGCTGAACTTATGATTGTACCTTAAGTCATAACTCAAATGTTTACCTCCTCTTGGAAACATTTATCCAACCCTCTTAGACAGATTCTGGTAGTTCTCTGTACTTACATTGTCAGTCTAGTACTACTCAATTCCAAAATTTATCACATTACATTATCATTGACTATAGCTCTGCCTCTTTTCTAAATTCTAAATAATGAAAGAAAGAATAAATTTTAATTAATCTTTGAATATCCAGAATATAGAATGGACAGTAGGCACTTAGTAATCTAAGTGAATGCAATAATAAGGCAAGCATTATGTTTTTTATGATAATTAGGCAATGAATATAGTTTCATTTACCTTCTTCACCTGCAACTTTACTTATGAACTGCTATTGTTTGCTAGTTTTTTTCTGAAAATGTCTTCAGTAAACATAAAGGTAGTATAAAACAGGATGAATTATACGTCTACTTCAATCACATAAAACTAACAGCAAGCCGAAGCATATAAAAGGGGATATATTACATTCTTTTTTTCGCAGATTCATAAATTAAAGTGAAGGGAGTTAGGAAACTTGCCTAGGAATATGGTGCCAGTAAGTTTTGTAGATAGACAAGGACTTAAGGCTTTTTAATTCTAAAACATTTACTTTTCCCACTACAACACAATTGGTTGTTTAGGACCAAGGGAACAAATGTTTGACATTTTGGAAGGATAAGCATGATGATGAGCCCAAGGTTTGTCAGGTGACTGATTTTCACCACCATTGCTAAATACCAAGGAAAATCACTACACATTTCCCCATCTGCTTCAAATCCTTCAATTGTCTTCTGACTGGGGTGACCTTCCGAAGCTTAACTGATACCTAAATCCTTGACACTTTTATTATCTCTTTTTCCCTACTGCAGTTATTATATTTTAACATATCAAATAATCAATTTAATTATGATTTATATTATTATTTTATGTTTCCATTCACTTGAATTTAAATCCCATAAGATTAAAAACTTTTTTCTATTTTGTTTACTAATGAATATACAGAATCAGTAAAAGAGCCAGGTACATATTAAGTGGCCAAGACATAGAGATAAACACATATAAAGTGAATTAAGAACAAATGAACAAATAAATGAATAAAAATACATGCAGGGCCAAGAGTGAATGAAGATTGACAGGATGTATCTACAATTTTTCTTAGAAAAACTCAGTTAATGTTAGCCTTTGAGAAACTTGGATAGTCAGAGCGGTTTCACAATAATGCTTGCCAAATACAAGTAGGTTCTTACAAATTTAGATTCTTTTGAACAAACGCAATGTAAACAAAACAATTACCTCATCCCTACCGATTATTACCAATCGAGGAAAGAAAAAGAGCCAAAACAAAACTCCCAATTGAGTTAAATGGTAGTGCATTGTTAAGATTGACAGTATTTTTACACATGATCTTGATCCTTTCTTCAGTTTCTTCCCCAAAAAAGAGAGAAAATATGGAAGGCTGGGCCATGGCTTAATTTTTCTTTCTGATGCAAACATTTAGGACAATTAACATAGGTGGTATTTGAGTTGTTTGATTAAATATTGCTCAGGTGAGGACTCAAAGTAGTTTGCCATAGGGTAATTGACTGTCAGACAAAGAAAGTAAAAAAATTAACAATGACAAAAGACAAAGTTGATTTTATTCCTGTTGGGGTATTTTTTTTTAACATTTGGAAGAAACATAAAAAAAATGAGTGGGGTAAATCACAATATTTTTTCTAGAAATTTAATCTATCTGGAATTGATTTTTGTGTATGGTGTGAGTTAGGCTCCAACATTATTTCTTCCTGATGTGACTAACACATATATATGAGTATGTATGTGTGCATATATATGGGTATGTGTGTGTACATGTGTATGTATATGTACATGTATAGTAACACATATTTATGGGTATATATGTGTGCATATATATGGGCATGTGTATGTACATATGTATGTATATGTGTGTGTGTACACACATACCTATATGTATTAGTCTGTTTTCACACTGTTGATAAAGACATACCCAAGATTGGGTAATTTATAAAGAAAAAAGAGGTTTAATGGACTCACAATTCCATTGGCTTGATAGGCCCCATAATCATGGCAGAAGGCGAAAGACACGTCTTTCATGGTGGCAGGCAAGAGAGAGAATGAGAACCAACTGAAAGGGATTACTCCTTATAAAACCATCAGATCTTTTGAGACTTATTTACTACCATGAGAACAGCATGGGGGAACTGCCCCCCATGATTCAATTATCTCCCACAGAGTCCCTCCCACAACACGTGGGAATTATGGGAGCTACAATTCAAGATGAGATTTGGGTGGGGACACAGCCAAACCATATCATTATATATATATATCGGTTAGGAAAGAATGAACAAATGAAGGAAGAAACACAGGGCCAAGAGTGAGCCAAGAATGTATATACATATATGCACACATATGTTCCATGTTTTTAATATACGTATGTGTATATTTGTATATGTTCATATGTGTGTAGCCCATATATTTATGTTATTTTGGTCAATTTATCTATTCCTATGTCACAATGCATTATTGTGTTATAATAAGTCTTGGCATTTTCTTCTTCAAAAATATTTTGGTTAATTATGGCCTTTTGGTCTTCCATAACAATTATAGGATCTTATTGAAGTTACATTTTTCAGAGCTGGCCCCATTAACTTATTTCATATTACAGGCTCTTTTTGCAATCTGACATTGACACTCTTTCATCAAGAATGTGGTCTGTGTTCCTACCCTTTGAATCTGAGTAGCTCTGTGATTATGACAAAGGTGATGTAAATCTTCTAAGGCTGAGTCATAAAAGCTGTTTAAGCTTCCAATTGGCTCCCTGTCCCATTAATGTACCTCAAGAATCCAGAGCTGAGTTGTTAAATATCTGGCAACTCTAAAGCAATGGTGATGAGAGATCACATTGGAAGAATGTATAGAAATAGAGAGAGATGCCCAAGAAGCCCCAGTGTTCCAACATCAACTGTTCCAGCCCTCAGTTTAGGTGACAAGCATATGAGAAAGCAAAGCTTCAGACATCCTAACCTCCTCCTTTATGCAGTTCCAACTGCTGGGATGTTTAGTTGAGCAGAAATAAGAGGTTCCCAGAATTCAGCCCAAATTCATGAATAAAATAAATATTGCTGTTGTTTTAAGCCATTGAATTTTCAGGTGGTTTCTCATGCAGCCAGAGTGATGGAACAGTTTAACACACACATACACAACACATCCCCCTACAAAATGTTGAAATTTTAATAACAATTCTAGTGAATCTATAACTTAATTTGGGGAGAACTAGAATCTAATTGATATTGATAAGAACTTTCCAGTCCATGAACATGATATACATTTTTATTTGTTGAGACTCTTAAAAGTCTTTCAACAAAGTTCTATATTTTTTTCTGTATAAGTTTCACACATTTTTAGTTTAGTTTTTCATAAATACCTTATATTTTGTGCCATTTCTTATGAATTTTATTTTCTTTTCTTTTCTCTTTACTTTTTTTTAGACAGAGTCTCACTGTGTTGCACAGGCTGGGTGCAGTGGTATGATCTTGGCTCACTGCAACCTCTGCTTCCTGGGTTGAAGTGACTCTTGCGCCTCAGTGTCCTGAGTAGCTGAGACTACAAAAATGCACCGCCATACCAGGCTAATTTTTGTATTTTTAGTAGAGATGGGGTTTTGTCATGTTGGCCAGGCTGGTCTTGAACTCCTGGCCTCATGTGATCCACCCGCCTCAGCCTCTCAAAGTGCTGGGATTACAGACGTGAGCCACTGCATACAGCTTCTTCTGAATTTTCTAACTAGTTATTACCACTATATAGAAATAAAATTGTCTTTTTTTTTTTTTGAGATAGGATTTTGCTGTATCACCCAGGCTGGAGTGCAGCGACTCGATCACAGCTTACTTCAGCCTTGAACTCTCGGGCACAAGCCACAAGCCATCCTCCCTCCTGCCTCAGCCTCCCAAGTAGTGCACTACTACGCCTGACTAATTTTTTTTTTCTTCAGTAGAGATAGGATCTCCCTATGTTGCCCAGGCTGGTCTCAAACTCCCGGGCTCAAGTGATCCTCATGCCTCAGCCTCCCAAAGTGCTAGGATTACTGGAATGAGCCACTACAACCAGTTTACAATTATCTTTTTTAATGCTAATTTTATATCCAGTACCTTGCTAAACTCTTTTCAGTTCTAAAACTTGCTATTAATCATTTGAGTTTTCTACATAAAAACTTCCTAACATTTCTTATTATTTACAGGTTATTTCTTCCATTCTAATAGAATATTAGCATTTGTCATTGATTCTAAGATGCCATTGATTATAAAATGCAAAAAAAGTTTTACAAAAAATTGTGCCTTAAATTAATAAAAGAAACAGTAATTTTTTCATTGCCTTACTAGGATGATTTAGATCTTCACTACGATGTTGAATAGAAGTGGTGAAAGGGGCACCCTAGTTTTATTCAGATTTTTACAGGGAATGCTTTCAAAAAATTTCACCTTTTTCTAACAAACTTTGGAAATACAAGTCTGTCCTTGAATTTTACTGAAGGCATTTTCTGCTTCAATTATAATAATCATTTTTTTCTCCAAATGTGATGAATTACATTAGGTTATATAAAAAATAATAAACTGTGTACTTCTAATAGGAGCCCAGACTATTAGGAAAATATTATTACTAATATTTAGTAAGCTAAATATAATATTTTAATGCATTACTAAATTCAATTTACTAATATTTAGTTTAGGATATTTGAATCTATTTTCTTGAGTGAGATTACTCTTTATTTTTTCTTTCTCGTACTATTATTTAGTTTTGATATTAAATTTAATATCAGATATTTATGTCTTTGTCCATAAGCAAAATTGGTCTTTTTTTTCCCTCTTTTATTCTGTCATTTTAAGGTTTTATTATCAAAGTTATCCTAAGCTCATAACATGCAATGCAACTGTTTCCTCCTTTACTCTCTATATAGCATATTTTGTGGAACATTACATTAATTTGTTTTTTGAATAGTTCATTCACCCTCTCTCAATTTATATATTATTGTTGGCTGTATTTTATTTATTTAAAGTTTTTTAAATTGACATAAAAATTGTACATATGCATTGTGTACAACATGTTGTTTTGAAATATGTACACATTGTGAAATGGTGACATCAAGCTAGTTAATATGTGCATCACTTCACTTACCATTTCTCTGTGGTGAGAACACAAAATCTATTCTCTTAGCAATTTTCAAGAATACATTGTTATTAATAGTCACCATGTTGACCAATAGATCGCTTACATTTATACCTCCTACCTAAATGAAACTTTGTATCCTTTGACCAATATCTCCTCAACACTCTGGCAAATCTCTGGTAATCACCATCCTTCTTTCTATTTCTATGAGCTTAACATTTTTACATACCACATATATGTGAGATCATGCAGTATTTATCTTTCTCTGACTGGCTTACTTCATTTAACATAATGTCCTCCAGGTTCATTCATGTTGCCACAAATGACAGAATTTTCTCCTTTTTTCAAGATGAATAGTATTCCATTATGTATATCTACCACATTTTCTTTATCCATTTTCTGTCAATGAGCCAGTGAGCACTTAGAGTGATTCCTTATCTTAGCAACTGTGCAATATGAACTATGAAGTGCAGATACCTCTTCAATATACTAGTTTCATTTCCTTTGGATATACACCCAGTAGTGGGATTGCTGGATTATAAGGTAGTTCTTTCTTTTTTAAATTTCAGAGGCACCTCTATACTGTTTTTCATGATGGTTGTAGTATTTTACATTCCCACCAACAATGTTCAAGTGTTCCCTTTTCTTCACATCCTCTCCAACACTTGTTATCTTTTGTCTTTTTGATATAGCCATTCTAATAGCCATGAGGTGCTAACACATTGTGGTTTTAATTTGCATTTATCTGATGATTAGTGATTTTTTCCATATACCTGTTGGACATTGGTATGTCTTTTTTTGAGAACTATCTATTCAGATCCTTTGCCCATTTTTAATTGGATTATTTGGGTTTTCCTTGTTTTTTGTTTGTTGTTACTATTGAGTTGTTTGAGTTTCTTACATATCTTGGATGTTAAACCTTTATCAAATATATGGGTTGCAATTATTATCTCCTATTTTGTAGGTTGTCTCTTCACTCTGTTGTTTCCTTGGCTGTGCAAAAGCTTTTTAGTTTGAAGTAATCCCATTTATCTTTTCACTTTATTTTATTTTATTTATTTATTTTTGCGTGTGGCTTTGGCTTCATAGCCAAAAAGCCATTTCCCAGACCAATGTCATGGAGCTTTTTTTTTCTTCTTCTTTTTTTTTTTCTAGGAGTTTTACACTTTCAGGTCTTATATTTAAGTCTTTAATCCATTTTCTGTTGATTTTTGCCTATGGTGTGCGATAAGGGTCCAATTTCATTCTTCTGCATGAATGTACAGTTATCATTGCACCATTTATTAAAGAGACATTATTTTTCTCATTGTGTGTTCTTAACACCTTTGCCAAAAATCATTTGACTATGAATGTGTGGATTTATTTCTGGGCTCTATATTTTGTTCTGTTGGTCTGTGTGTCTGTGTTTATGTCACTACCATGCTTTTATGGTTGAAGCTTTGTAGTAGATTTTAAAGTCAGGGAGTGTGATGCCTCCAGCTTTGTTCTTTTTGCTCAATGTCTTTTTTGGGCTATTCAGGGTTTTTTTGTGGTTCTGCATGATTTTTAGGATTTTTTTCTACTTCTGTGAAAAATGTCACTGGAATTTTGGTAAGCATTGCATTGAATCTTTTTACTGCTTTGGTAGTACGGGAATTTTAGCAATATTTATTCTTCCAATTTATGAACACAGGATATCTTTTTATTTATTGTGCCTTCTTTAATTCCCTTCATCAATGTTGTATAGCTTTCAGTGAATAGTTCTTTTAGTTCTTTGGTTAAATTAATTACCAAGTATTTTAATTTTTTTGGTAAATATTGTATAAATGCAATTGTTTTCTTAATTTCTTTGTAGGATAGCTCATTGTTAGTGTATAGTGATGCTACTGATTTTTGTATGTTGATTTTATATCCTTCAGCTGTCCTGAATTCTTTTTATTAGTTCTAACAGTTTTTTGGTAGAGTCCTTAAGGGTTTTCTATATGCATGATCATGTTGTCTGCAAACAAGGACATTTTAACTGCTTCCTTTCCAGTTTGGATGCCCTTTATTCTGTCTTTTGCCTAATTGCTTGAACTAGAATTTCCAATACTATGTTGAATAGAATTTGTAGGAGTAGGCATCTTTGTCTTGTTACTGATAGGAGAGGAAAAGCTTTCAACTTTTCACTATTGAGTATGATGTTACCTATGGGTCTGTCATATATGGCCTCTATTATATTAAGGTGCATTCCTTCTATACTTAATTTGTTGAGAGTTTTTTTTTATCATGAAAGGATATTGAATTCTATCAACTGCCCTTTTTGAATTTATTGTTGTCATATATTTTAATGTTATATTAAACATTACAAGTTGTATTTTTTAGGATGTCAAAGTCTGTTTAGAATTTCTATGATATTTACCACTTTCTTTGCTGCTCATTCCTTCTTGAAATTGACTTGTATTTTGAGAATTCTGTCCGAATTATGTTATTTTCATATTTTTTAGTGAAAGTTTGTTGGTGGAAAACCTTAAACTTCTTATTTTTCTAAAATGTCTTTATATCTCCCCATTCATGAAAGTTATTTTGCTATGATAATTTAACACAAGAGTTATTTTCTATCTTTATAGTGCAAATATCATTCACTGTTTTGCTTCCCTGTGGTTGAAGAGAAAACAGCTGTCAGTCTAATTGATGCTCTTTTGAATGCAATCTGCCTTTCGTCTCTGACTAAGATCTTTTAACATTCTATAGCTTCAACATTTCTCTTGCTTGAGATCTTTTGGGTTCTTGAATTTGTCATAGTAACAAACCCCTAGTTTTGAAAAGTTCATAGCCGTTATCTATTCAGATATTGCCTTTGATTCTATCTCACCACTTCTATTATAACTCCATTAAGTTGTGTTAGATGTTCCCATTTTATCATTCATGTCTCTTGACATGTATCTACCCCTCTCTGTTGTATTCTGAACAACTTCTTCAATGCTATTATTCAGTTAATTGATTATCTTTTTTGCTAAGTATAACCTACTTTTAAGTATGTTACTTTAGTGTTTATTTTCTAGTATATCTTAATTTTTGGAAGTTTTAAAAGTTATTTTTCAAATTATTTAGCTCTTTACTAATAATCTCAAACTGTTATTTAATTTCTTTAAACATATTAAACATAGTGGTCAGTATATTATTTCTGCTAATTTTAGTATTTAAATTCTGTTTGGGTCTGGTTTTGTTATGTTTTTTTCTGTTTGGCTCTGCCTCACAATACTTACGCTCTTGGGTGTTTACTAGCTGTTGATCATCAGTTACATTTTTTCTGTGGAGATTTTTTGAGGTATCGGATCAAAGTGAGTTGCTCCATATATAACTGGTGTTTGCTTTAGCCAGGTATCTGGAGGCTTTACCAGTCTAAGACTACTTCCAACAAAGCTTTGGCTTGAAGCTTTTATTACCACCAATGCAGTATGTACTCAGACTACAATATGAGGTCCGAATCTTGGTTATAATTTCTCAGGGAAGATAGCTTTTCATTCACTGACACCAAGTTTTAAAATCATCAATATTTTGTTTCTGTAGTCTGTTGAAGTGGGGGCAGTAGAGTGTTGCCCTTTGGTGATTACTTTTTATTTTATTTATTTATTTATTTATTTTTATTATACTCTAAGTTTTAGGGTACATGTGCACAACGTGCAGGTTTGTTACATATGTATACATATGCCATGTTGGTGTGCTGCACCCATTAACTCGTCATTTAACATTAGGTATATCTCCTAATGCTATCTCTTCCCCTCCCCCCACCCCACAACAGGCCCCGGAGTGTGATGTTCCCCTTCCTGTGTTCATGTGTTCTCGTTGTTCAATTCCCACCTATGAGTAAGAACATGTGGTGTTTGGTTTTTTGTCCTTGCGATAGTTTGCTGAGAATGATGGTTTCCAGCTTCATCCATGTCCCTACAAAGGACATGAACTCATCATTTTTTATGGCTGCATAGTATTCCATGGTGTATATGTGCCACATTTTCTTAATCCAGTCTATCATTGTTGGACATTTGGGTTGGTTCCAAGTCTTTGATATTGTGAATACTGCTGCAATAAACATACGTGTGCATGTGTCTTTATAGCAGTATGTTTTATAATACTTTGGGTATATGCCCAGTAATGGGATGGCTGGGTCAAATGGTATTTCTAGTTCTAGAACCCTGAGGAATCACCACACTGACTTCCACAATGGTTGAACTAGTTTACCGTCCCATCAACAGTGTAAAAGTATTCCTATTTCTCCACATTCTCTCCAGCACCTGTTGTTTCCTGACTTTTTAATGATTGCCATTCTAACTGGTGTGAGATAGTATCTCATTGTGGTTTTGATTTGCATTTCTCTGATGGCCAGTGATGATGAGCATTTTTTCATGTGCCTTTTGGCTGCATAAATGTCTTCTTTTGAGAAGTGTCTGTTCATATCCTTTGCCAACTTCTTGGGGTTGTTTGCTTTTTTCCTGTAAATTTGTTTGAGTTCATTGTAGATTCTGGATATTAGCCCTTTGTTAGATGAGTAGATTGCAAAAATTTTCTCCCGTTCTGTAGGTTGCCTGTTCACTCTGACGGTAGTTTCTTTTGCTGTGCAGACGCTCTTTAGTTTAATTAGATCCCATTTGTCAATTTTGGCTTTTGTTGCCATTGCTTTTGGTGTTTTAGACATGAAGTCCTTGCCCATGCCTATGTCTTGAATGGTATTGCCTAGGTTTTCTTCTAGGGTTTTTATGGTTTTAGGTCTGACATTTAAGTCTTTAATCCATCTTGAATTAATTTTTGTATAAGGTGTAAGGAAGGGATCCAGTTTCAGCTTTCTCCATATGGCTAGCCAGTTTTCCCAGCACCATTTATTAAATAGGGAATCCTTTCCCCATTGCTTGTTTTTGTCAGGTTTGTCAAAGATCAGATAGTTGTAGATATGCAGCATTATTTCTGAGGGCTCTGTTCTGTTCCATTGGTCTATATCTCTGTTTTGGTACCAGTACCATGCCATTTTGGTTACTGTAGCCTTGTAGTATAGTTTGAAGTCAGGTGGCGTGATGCCTCCAGCTTCGTTCTTTTGGTTTAGGATTGACTTGGCAATGTGGGCTCTCTTTTGGTTCCATATGAACTTTAAAGTAGTTTTTTCCAATTCTGTGAAGAAAGTCATTTGTAGCTTGATGGGGATGGCATTGAATCTATAAGTTACTTGGGCAGTATGGCCATTTTCACGATATTGATTCTTCTTACCCATGAGCATGGACTATTCTTCCATTTGTTTGTATCCTCTTTTATTTCATTGAGCAGTGGTTTGTAGTCTTCTTGAAGAGGTCCTTCACATCCCTTGTAAGTTGGATTCCTAGGTATTTTATTCTCTTTGAAGCAATTGTGAATGGGAGTTCACTTATGATTTGGCTCTCTGTTTGTCTGTTGTTGGTGTATAAGAATGCTTGTGATTTTTGCACATTGATTTTGTATCCTGAGACTTTGCTGAAGTTGCCTATCAGCTTAAGGAGATTGTGGGCTGAGACGATGGAGTTTTCTAGATATACAATCATGTCATCTGCAAATAGGGACAATTTGACTTCCTCTTTTCCTAATTGAATACCCTTTATTTCCTTCTCCTGCCTGATTGCCCTGGCCAGAACTTCCAACACTATGTTGAATAGGAGTGGTGAGAGAGGGCATCCCTGTCTTGTGCCAGTTTTCAAAGGGAATGCTTCCAGTTTTTGCCCATTCAGTATAATATTGGCTGTGGGTTTGTCATAGATAGCTCTTATTATTTTGAGATATGTCCCATCAAGACTTAATTTATTGAGAGTTTTTAGCATGAAGGGTTGTTGAATTTTGTCAAAGGCCTTTTCTGCATCTATTGAGATAATCATGTGGTTTTTGTCTTTGGTTCTCTTTATATGCTGGATTACATTTGTTGATTTGCATATGTTGAACCAGCCTTGCATCCCAGGGACGAAGCCCACTTGATCATGGTGGATAAGCTTTTTGATGTGCTGCTGGATTCGGTTTGCCAGTATTTTATTGAGGATTTTTGTATCGATGTTCATCAGGGATATTGGTCTAAAATTCTCTTTTTTTGTTGTGTCTCTGCCAGGCTTTGTTATCAGGATGATGCTTGCCTCATAAAATGAGTTAGGGAGGATTCCCTCTTTTTCTATTGATTGGAATAGTTTCAGAAGGAATGGTACCAACTCCTCCTTGTACCTCTGGTAGAATTCGGCTGTGAATCCATCTGGTCCTAGACTTTTTTTGCTTGGTAAGCTATTAGTTATTGCCTCAATTTCAGAGCCTTTATTGGTCTATTCAGAGATTCAACTTCTTCCTGCTTTAATCTTGGGAGGGTGTATGTGTCCAGGAATTTATTCATTTCTTTTAGATTTTCTAGTTTATTTGCATAGTGGTGTTTATAGTATTCTCTGATGGTAGTTTGTATTTCTGTGGGATCAGTGGTGATATCCCCTTTATCATTTTTTATTGCATCTATTTGATTTTTCTCTCTTTTCTTCTTTATTAGTCTTGCTAGCAGTCTATCAATTTTGTTGATCTTTTCAAAAAACCAGCTCCTGGATTCATTGATTTTTTGAAGGGTTGTTTGTGTCTCTATTTCCTTCAGTTCTGCTCTGATCTTAGTTATTTCTTGCCTTCTGCTAGGTTTTGAATGTGTTTGCTCTTGCTTCTCTAGTTCTTTTAATTGTGATGTTAGGGTGTCAATTTTAGATCTTTCCTGATTTCCCTTGTGGGCAATTAGTGCTATAAATTTCCCTGTACACATGTAGAGGGAAATTTTGTGTGCCAGAGAGTCTGGTATGTTGTGTCTTTGTTCTCATTGGTTTCAAAGAACATCTTTATTTCTGCCTTCATTTCATTATGTACCCAGCAGTCATTCAGGAGCAGGTTGTTCAGTTTCCATGTAGTTGAGCGGTTTTGAGTGAGATTCTTAATCCTGAGTTCTAGTTTGATTGCACTGTGGTCTGAGAGACAGTTTGTTATAATTTCTGTTCTTTTACATTTGCTGAGGAGTGCTTTACTTCCCAGTATGTGGTCAATTTTGGAATAGGTGTGGTGTGGTGCTGAAAAGACTGTATATTGTTGATTTGGGGTGGAGAGTTCTGCAGATCTCTATTAGGTCTGCTTGGTGCAGAGCTGAGTTCATTTCCTGGATATCCTTGTTAACTTTCTGTCTTGTTGATCTGTCTAATGTTGACAGTGGGGTGTTAAAGTCTCCCATTATTATTGTGTGGGAGTCTAAGTCTCTTTGTAGGTCTCTAAGGACTTGCTTTATGAATCTGGGTGCTCCTGTATTGGGTGCATGTATATTGAGGATAGTTAGCTCTTCTTGTTGAATTGTTCCCTTTACCATTCTGTAATGGCCTTCTTTGTCTCTTTTGATCTTTGTTGGTTTAAAGTCTGTTTTATCAGAGACTAGGATTGCAACCCTTGCCTTTTTTTGTTTTCCATTTGCTTGGTAGATCTTCCTCCATCCCTTTATTTTGAGCCTATGTGTGTCTCTGCACGTGAGATGGGTTTCCTGAATACAGCACACTGATGGGTCTTGACTCTTTATCCAATTTGCCAGTCTGTGTCTTTTAATTGGAACATTTAGCCCATTTACATTTAAGGTTAATATTATGTGTGAATTTGATCCTGTCATTATGATGTTAGCTGGTTATTTTGCTCGTTAGTTGATGCAGTTTCTTCCTAGCCTTGATGGTCTTTACAATTTGGTATGTTTTTGCAGTTGCTGGTACCGGTTGTTCCTTTCCATGTTTAGTGCTTCCTTCAGGAGCTCTTTTAGGGCAGGCCTGGTGGTGACAAAATCTCTCAGCATTTACTTATCTGTAAAGTATTTTATTTCTCCTTCACTTATGAAGCTTAGTTTGGCTGGATATGAAATTCTGGGTTGAAAATTCTTTTCTGTAAGAATGTTGAATATTGGCCCCCATTCTCTTCTGGCTTGTAGAGTTTCTGGTGAGAGACCAGCTGTTAGTCTGATGAGCTTCCCTTTGTGGGTAACCAGACTTTTATCTCTGGCTGCCCTTAACATTTTTTCCTTCATTTCAACTTTGGTGAATCTGACAATTATATATCTTGGGGTTGCCCTTTTCGAGGAGTATCTTTGTGGCATTCTCTGTATTTCCTGAATTTGAATGTTGGCATGCCTTGCTAGATTGGGGAAGTTCTCCTGGATAATATCCTGTAGAGTGTTTTCCAACTTGTTTCCATTCTCTCTGTCACTTTCAGGTACACCAATCAAAGGTAGATTTGGTCTTTTCACATAGTCCCATATTTCTTTGAGGCTTTGTTCGTTTCTTTTTATTCTTTTTTCTCTAAACTTCTCTTCTCGCTTCATTTCATTCATTTGATCTTCCATCACTGATACCCTTTCTTCCAGTTGATCGAATGGGCTACTGAGGCTTGTGCATTCGTCATGTAGTTCTTGTGCCGTGGTTTTCAGCTCCATCAGGTCCTTTAAGTACTTCTCTGCATTGGTTATTCTAGTTAGCCATTCGTCTAATTTTTTTTCAAGGTTTTTAACTTCTTTGCCATGGGTTCAAACTTCCTCCTTTAGCTTGGTGTAGTTTGATTGTCTGAAGCCTTCTTCTCTCAGCTCATCAAAGTCATTCTCCGTCCACCTTTGTTCCATTGCTGGTGAGGAGCTGTGTTCCTGTGGAGGAGGAGAGGTGCTCTGATTTTTAGAGTTTCCAGTTTTTCTGTTCTGTTTTTTCCCCATCTTTGTGGTTTTATCTACCTTTGGTCTTTGATGACGGTGACTGACAGATGGGGTTTTGATGTGGGTGTCCTTTCTGTTAGTTTTCCTTCTAACAGTCAGGACCCTCAGCTGCAGGTCTGTTGGAGTTTGTTGGAGGTACACTCCAGACCCTGTTTGCCTGGGTATCAGCAGCAGAGGCTGCAGAACAGTGGATATTGGTGAACAGCAAATGTTGCTGCCTGATTGTTCCTCTGGAAGTTTTGTTTCAGAGGAGTACCTGGCCGTGTGAAGTGTCAGTCTGCCCCTACTGGGGGGGTGCCTCCCAGTTAGGCTACTTGGGGGTCAGGGACCCACTTGAGGAGGCAGTCTGTCTGTTCTCAGATCTACAGCTGCATGCTGGGAGAACCACTGCTCTCTTCAAAGCTGTCAGACAGGGACATTTAAGTCTGCAGAAGTTTCTGCTGCCTTTTGTTTGGCTCCTCCAGAGGTGGAGTCTATAGAGGCAGGCAGGCCTCCTTGAGCTGCGGTAGGATCTACCCAGTTTGAGCTTCCCTGCCACTTTGTTTACCTACTCAAGCCTCGGCAATGGCGGGCACCCCTCCCCCAGCCTCGCTGCCACCTTGCAGTTTGATCTCAGCCTGCTGTGGTAGCAATGAGCAAGGCTCTGTGGGCATAGGACCCTCTGAGCCAGGCACAGGATATAATCTCCTGGTGTGTCGTTTGCTAAGACCATTGGAAAAGCGCAGTATTAGGGTGAGAGTGACCCGATTTTCCAGGTGCCGTCTGTCACCCCTTTCTTTGACTAGGAAAGGGAATTCCCTGACCCCTTGTGCTTCCTGGGTGGGTGAGGTGATGCCTTGCCCTGCTTTGGCTCATGCTTGGTGCACTGCACCCACTGTCCTGCACCCAGTTTCCAACACTCCCCAGTGAGATGAACCCCGTATCTCAGTTGGAAATGCAGAAATCACCTGTCTTCTGTGTTGCTCACACTGGGAGCTGTAGATTGGAGCTGTTCCTATTTGGCCATCTTGGCTCCACCCTTCTTTCTCTTTCTTTCCCTTCCAATGTCTGGATGTAGATAGCAGTACGGACCTTTACAGACTGTTCTCAATGGATTTCTCTTCTTTACTGAGCTTCAAAGCTTCCATGATGTTGGCAGCTGGGAATGAAAGGCAGAGGGAGGGAGTGCAGGGCCGGATCGCTGCCTGGGAGTGGTGATTACTTTTGAAAAGTGGGATGATCATCTTTTAAAATCTGTACCTTGAATGGGTCTTAGAATTTTTATTCCTATGCCTCAAGTTTCATAAGGTGGAATAACCAAGGCTTAATTTCCTGTTTTTGTAAATACTCTCGAGCAAAAACTATTTTAAATAATCATCTTGTCTTCCTAGATTCCGGCTTGACTTTGTTTTTAACCCAAATATTCCTTATGTTTTTGTTAATTAGTAGATAAAGATGATTTTTGAAGACTTTCTGTCATTTTAAATAGATTTCAACAAGATGACCTATCCAGGTCCTTAGCATACTGTATTTCTGAAAATAAAACTCTAATAATTTTTCTTTTCAACAATTTTTAAAAGAGTTATTGGCCTTCTCTCATGTGCCCGTCATTGTGGAATGAACTTGGGGTACAAATTTAATAAGTTGTGGCCCTAACTTCAAGTTAATTATAATTTGGAAGGAAAAGAGTTCACATAATTCTAACACTTATGCATGGAACACAGTGAAAGATTTTTTTCACAGAATGTTACGACATGAAAGCAGATCTACCTGTCTTGTTTTGAGCTAAAACAGGTGGCTTCTGAGAATGATTTTTGAAGAATGTAATGTCTGAGGAATGTAAACAAGATGGATATAAGTGTCATGAGGGCAAGTACCTGACTTTGTCAATATTGTATTTTTTTTCTGCCTAGGACAGGTGCTTAATAAATATTTGTTGTATTAACAAATGTTTGAATAAGATATAATTATTGTCTTTAAAGACAATAATCATGTCTTTAAAATAAAAGAATTATGACCATTGATAAATCACAGCATGTCTATAGTTTTCTAAATACATGTCCTAAATTTCTTTAATCTCTTCTGCCCCATGTTAGAAAGCATGTATCTACTTGTGTATTCCAATAACGTTGGAATTCCCCAAGCCCTATGCCAAAACATAGAAGGAAATATCACAGAACCTTGGGTTGGAGGATGCCTTAAAAGTTGCCCAGTAAAATCAACAAGCTGATACTTAAGTCCTACATCATTGAAGCAGGTGTTGGTTTGGTTGTTTATTGTTTGTTTATCAGTCTCTGTTTTTAAACTGCCAGCAAGTGAACTAATTGCTCTGACTGTTAGAAGGAAAGGGCTAAAACCTGCCTTTAAGGTTAACCTGTCTTTCTATAGCACGTACCCATGGTCATAGTTCTTCCATTTGGCATTCAGTAGAATAGGCGTAATGTGCTTTCCATTGCCAATTTGTTAGCTATTTGAACACAGCTATTTTTTTCTTCATGAATCTTTATGAGGAAGAGCGTGGTGGTGAAGTGGGTTCAACTTACTCACTCTTTCCCTAAAATATTTTGAGTCGCTGTGTTGTTTTGGCTACTTTGGACCTCAGTTGGCTTCAGTGTTACAGTAAGGTTGTCCCCAGGAAGAAGAGGATAAAGACAGTGCACAGGTCATGTTTGATCAGTGAACAGGAGAAGAACTCAAATCTACATTTGTGGGATTTGGTATAAAACTTGCCTGCTGACCAAGCCAGAACAGATGGTAAACAGAATGTTTATAAGAATGTAATTTCCTTACCTGTGAAATGGAGGTGACTGTGCCTACCTCTTCAGGTTGTTGTAAGCAATAAATGAGTCTACAGCTAGAGACAACATCTTAGAGGTACTCATTAAATAACATATATTATGGTTATTATCAAATGGTGTCACCAATATGAAAATTAAATCTATTTTTTGTCTGTACATTGAGTAAATTTTAATTCTTTTCTATGTTATCAGTATAGAGATCATATGCATATAAATCCTTTATATATTTTATGGAGTCATTTAATTGGATGTATATTTCATTTAAAATGGAGATTATTTAAAAAGTGAATATGATGTATCATCAGGCTTCTTGTTGATCTTCATGTTCAAAATTTACATCCGTGGGATAGATCATGTTGCAGTTTACATTGGTATGCAAAAGGAAATGGCAATTCTGTATTTATGACAGCCTGTTTAAAATTGGCAAGAAAGAGTCTCTTATAACAAGGTTATATTGTATTGATTTGCCATTCGAATATTTATTTATTTATTATATATGCCATTTCTGGAAAATGTAAAGCACAACAAAAATTCGTGGTTATTTCCAGCTTCTGGAGAGCTGGATAGATGTGAGAGTGTATTTATGGGGTATTTATTTTCTAATATATGCAATGGAGTTGATCCTAAATGATTTGACTTTAAAAGCAGAATATAAATCTCTACAGGCACAAGTAGAGTTAAGGTTTGTACTAAATCTTTGCCTAAAATATCCCAAAGCAAGTTATAAAAAAATTCCTTCTCATGCATCAAATTAAAACTAACCTTGTTGGGCAACCAGTGATAAAACGGGACTCTCAGACCACTCTGCATGGATCACAGCATTCATCACCAGTTTATATTTTCTTTGCAGAGAAAATATCTTATTTCCCCCAGTCTGATGCACATTTTTAAAAGACAACATTTTTTGTCTTCAGTGCACCCATATAAGTAAATCTATGTGGGAATAAACTACCATTTATTCAGCTCCTCCCCTGTGCCAGGTACTGCTCTGGGCATTTTGATATTGGTTAACATTTCTGTAGTGCTTACTATGTGCTCGATATTGTGCCCCAAATACTTTCTGTACTTTATGTACTTAATTGTCATAATCACCGTATGACTAAATGTCATCTTCCCAATTTTCCATATGAGAAAACTCAGACTCTGAGACATTATGGAACTTACCCAGAGGTAGCCAGGTTATAATCTGAATCCAGGCTAAGTACTCAGGTGGTATTGATTGAAAGGCCATCTCTTTCCATAATTCCCCATATTGTTACTTAACAGCTTTGATCTACAAATGAATATAAATGAGAATTTTGAGAGAATATCCTTTTTCTGTTTTGGTAGAACATGAAAAGCCTCAATTACTTCATACAGCAAATACTTGTTGCCAGTTTACTTTATACCAAGCATTGTGCCAGGACCTGAAGATATAGAGATAAAAGGTTGTCCCCAACCCTCACTGACACAAGGTCTTTAGGGAAGACAAACAATTTTATAAAGTACAATATGGTGCTGCTGCTATAGAAACCTTAACAGCTTGGGGCTGCAGGGAAGTTATCAAAGATATAGCAGAGTGGCTGACAGCCAGGCTGTCCTGCAGACCTGGAACATTGAAACATGAGAAGGAGTTGGGGGACAACAAAGAAAACCTCCCTTTTTTACCCTCTCATTTTAATTAAAAGCTACTTTCAACTCATTCACTTGCAACCCATAGCAGTAGCTTGATGTGAGAAAATTCTTGGCAGGAGAGAGAGAGAAGAAAGGAGAGAGAGAGGAGAAAGGAGAGAGAGAGAGAGACAGAGAGACAGAGAAACCCTCCTAAGATTTTGCTGTAGTTCTTCAGTTTGGCATTGTCTTTTTATGTGGTTTGGGAAATTATACCCTTTCTCAGGAATTGATTGTCATTTTTGATTTTCTATAAAGGAGTTTGACAGTTGAATGACTGCTGAACTTTTCTGAAATTCTGCCCTGTCACTTGTTCTCTTCTGCTGTAGTCCTTAGCTTTCCTAGATTGACACCATCAGCCACTGCAAAGGGATATGCTGATTTCCTTAATAGTCAGATTGGGATTTGACACGAAGGCTGCCATGGACGAGGGAGGATGGAAAGAAATGACCAGCAAGTTAAAACAGCCACCATAATTGCATTTATTCCTGGGCTCTAGGTCAAACCAGAGTGGTTGGAGAGTGAAATACAGGGTTTGTTGGAAGTGCTGTAAGAGTGAATTACAGTACACATAAATGGAGGGCTATAAACCTTCTGCAGACCTCAAAGCTAGCGATCGCCAATCATCTCAATCACAGTGCAGCAAATTTTGCCAATAATAGTGCACCCAGCAAGGGGACCATTTCCTTTGGAATGTTATACCTGCCGTCCACCCCAAACCCTCCTCTTCCCTCCCTCCCCATCCCGTAGTAACTAGTAGAGAGTTTCACATAAAATGTGACCTCAAAAGATGTGTGCTCTAATAAGTTTTACACCTTAAAGAAAGAATGACAACGCTTCTGGGAAAATGGGAGCATTTTCTCTGCCTTCTTCTTCTGGTTCATTCCCATCTTAGTCCAGCACTGGCACAGATATTCTTGTTTTTACTTTTTCCATGCCTGGGCTTTTTTTAGGACTCTCATGACAGACTAAGTATTGTTTTCCCTTAGTTCTATTCTTGTTGACTTGCATATTGTCTAATGCAAACCTTATCCTCTTAGGACACCACAGTCTCTCTTCCTTCTCGCCCCCTCCAGCAGCCTTCCTTTTCTATATTTACACTTTCAATTTTGAGCAGTTTTCCTTTTCCTACCTTGTCACAGTCCTATGTAAAGACGCATCAACTGTAGCATCTGTGTGTATGCCATTGTGAGGTTTTGAATTGCCTGGATTTTTCTCTGAGGATTAATAATTTTCTTAAGATTTTAGAATTTACAACATTTGTCTTCTTCACCATGATTTCATTTATTCCCACTCCCTTGCTTTGAATTAATCCTAATGGGTGTTTACTAATAGTTTGATACAACTGTGAAATAGAATGAAAAAGTTGGCTAAGTTATCTTCCCCTTAGGCAACACTTCTGCCACCCAAATACTTTCTTCCTAGGACAGTATTTGGTTAAAGGAGAAAAAGTACTATGGGATAAATATCTGAAGTCTAGGATCCTGTTCATTTTGAAGACAGCTAATTTCAGATGAACATGGAATTTTCTATATTTTTCATACCTCAATCACAGCCTATATCAGGTTGTATGTCAATTATTAGAGCAAGGTTCTATCTTTCTGCATTAATGTGTACTTTAAGCACAGAAGTTTGCTCTTATTCATCTTTGTGTCTCTGGCACCTACGATAATGTCTGGCACATAGCAGCCCTGAATAAAGATTCTTGAAAGTATCTTTTATCATTTCACAGGAGTACCAAAGTTTTAATTTTCTCAGTAAATATTATAAAAAATGTATACTATTCAGTTTAAAATCATACTTTGTTGATTTTCATTGTTGTGCAAAAATTAAAGCAACTATTCTACACATCCAAATGCCCTTTTAAATGGTGAATATGTTTTGCACAAGCACATATTAGAACATTCAATTATGCAAGCAACTTGAGAGAATGCATTTGAAAATATGAACGTATGTGATTTAAAAACAGAAAGGTAAAAATTAACTTCTCAAGTCTTCTAAGGAAACAAAGTATTTAAGAGATGGATTGTGAGTGTATGATAGCATATAAAGTGTTAAGAATAGTTCAGTCAAATCTTTAGATTCCTTACTGTCCTTACCCAAATTTCTATTACTCAATAAATGCCAAAAGCTTCAAAGCCAATATAGATGGATTAACTAGCTATTCTGATTGTAACTAAGGGAAATAAGATGTCCAAATATATTTTTGTCCACTGATTCACCTGGGATCGAGTGCGAGATGAAAAATGTGCAAAGTCTGCATATCAAGCATAAGTGTAAAGATACTATCCTTGAAACACAGAGGTAGAAAACCTGAATAAGAACCCCAAATAGCATTTTCACGAAGACAACAAAAATGCTGCCGTATGAGGAGGAGGAATTCAAACTGAAATGAGCTGGCAGAGGAGCTATGCAATGGAAACTCCTCATCTGCTTCCTGGAAGAGATCTTCAGAAGCCCTAAAAAGGAAGAAAAAGCATCTTCTGTATAAATATGATTTAAAAAAGAGGGAGAAAAAATTTAGAAGCTATTTGTAGGTAGACATATATATCCAACTAGGGAAAAGAGGGGGATTCAAAGAATGAATTCTAGAGGAAGTGCTTTTGGAGAAGACTAAAAGATCTAGATGTCAGGGTACTCCTTTGTCTAGACCATGGTTCTATGGTCAGCTTCTTAACACATATTGCCTGAAGTAGTTCTCTCCAGGTCTTCCATGGTTTTACATCTTAACCAGGAAAATTCAGAAACAATCTAGTTCTTTATATGTCTTTAGAGTTTTATTTACACAGTACTAAAAAGATCAAATGAAAAGCAAACCTGAATAATTTTCTCCAACTTGCTGATAATAAAGATGGACTTAGGGCCGAGCGTGGTGGCTCATGCCTGTAATCCTAGCACTTTGGGAGGCTGAGGTGGGCGGATCACTTGAGGTCAGGAGTTTGAGACCAGCCTGGCCAATATGGTGAAACCCTGTCTCTACTAAAAATTCAAAAATTAGCCTGGCATGGTGGTGGGCGCCTGTAGTCCTACCTACTCAAGAGGCTGAGGCAGGAGAATTGCTTGAGCCCAGGAGGTGGAGGTTGCAGCGAGCTGAGACTGTACCACTGCACTCCAGGCTGGACGACAGAGCAAGTCTCTGTCTCAATAAAATAAAGTAATAACATAAAACAAAAATAAAATAAAATAAAGATGCATTAAGAATGAAACTAGATGGGTTATTTGGAGATCCTAAGGGTGGGAATGGGTTATGGAAGAGAATGGAAAGCATCTTCTTTCTATGGAGTCAGTGGGCCTTTATTCGTTCATTCAGCAAATATTCATTGAGAGGTTATTATAGGTTAAGTGTTGTGCTGGGTTCTAGGTAAGGAGTAGAGAATAAAACAGACAAGATCTCTGTCCCCATGACACTCATGGATTAGTAAAAGAGAAAAATCATTAGAAATAGTCACTGAATGAAGCTACAATCACATTTACTAATAGAATCAAGAAAAAAAATGTATCGAGAGAGAGACATGAAGGTGTCTGAGGAACCAAGAGAAGTGCTCTAGTTCCATTTTTGCTAGTTACTTGTGTTTTGATGATGGGAAAGTTACTGAATGCCGTTGAGCCTCAGTTTTCTCATCTGTAAAACAGAGATTAAAACAGCTACTTTATAATGTGTGAATAAAATTAGAGGAGAGGGGTAAAGGATCTGACAGAGACCTCCTTCGCATCTTATGAATAACTAAGATTTAACTAGAAGACTAGCTATGTTGCCAACTATCTAATCTATGTTTTCCTCTCTTCCCTAAGTAGCATAGCACCTGAAACAGACTAGATTGGTGTCAATTACTAACAGCTGACCTTCAAGTCAATTCTATTACCTTTTCCTGTGCTCTTATTCTAAAATCTGGTTTTGTCATGACCAATTAATCATGCATACAACTTCTATATCAAAATGTATCCCAAATCTCCTTGTAGTTACTCTATTTTATCACCAGTAAACAATCCAGCCCTAATTTTTTGAAGTGGTAGAAAGAACCTTAGCTCTATATTTGTACCACTGTTCTGATTACTCTGTCGGTGGCCTATGTATTTCATCTTTTAAACCACCTCAGGCACAGGAGGTTCATTCTTGGTGTTGGGCATTCTGAAAGACTGGGAGTCCAAGGCTGTCTGCCATAGAGAGGAGTGTTAATATTTCGGGCCTAACAATTAGCAAGGTGAGGTAAACATAACTGAACACTGCTTTGAAGATTCAGAGTCCTGCAGTGCCCTAGGGTCAACATGCTAATGAATTGATAATCCCTCGCACTAAGAGCTGAAAGTGAATGCGACAAAAACCCTGGACCATACCTCCAAAGCTGATTTCTTTACAATGGAATCCTTATATGTTTTTATATTTAATGTTTTGCCTCTTTTTCTTAAAGGAATAAATTCTGGTTTATCAAGTGATCCAGAAAATTGAATTCTGATTATTTCAAATTTTAAGAATGGACTTTGAATGAATCTTAGCATTTAACCTGAAAATTTTTGATATGTAGATACATTTTCTCCATCCATGCTTTAGGGACATATTTTAATGGAAGACACTGTGGATTCAGAGTGGATTCTTCCTAACCTGGAAGTCATTCCTAGTTCAGGCAGTGCAATGTATAACCAGATTAGGGAAGCAATGACTGCCAAATCTTATTACACATCATCCAAGAGGAGCTCTAAAAAACAATACTGCTTCCTGGGCTCTGTCTCAGATACACAGAATGAGAAATTCTAAGGGTTTCAAATTAAGGATTGAATAATAAAACAAAAAAGGAGGGAAATTCTAGGGATATCAGGTTCAAATCTGTAATTAAAAAAAAAATTTCTCCAGGTGATTCTGGTTCATGAGGTTTGTGGATATGCCTTTCCAGCAGAAAGCAAGTGGATAGTGGCTGTGTGTGTTTTGTGTTAATGTGAATCCCTTTTTGCCCACAGGTACATTTCTGACAGTCATTACAAGTATAATCAGTGATTCTGCTGATTGCAGTGGTTCCTCTGTCTCTCTCTAGTTATGCCTCAGATGTGTTGTAATTCAAAAATGAAGCTCTATTTCAAGTATTGGGAGGGAAGTTAACACTGCTTACTTATAAATATTCTTTTTTTTTTAGTAGTACTCTACTGAGAAAATACTGGAAATAGGGTGTGTATGTGTGTGTATTTGTGTGCATATGAGTGTGTGGTTTTTTTTTCCTGGAATAATAACGGCCTTGATGAGAAGCCCTTTCATTAGGATTATAGCATAAGGGGCTATAGAAACATCCTTAGGTAAATTGTCATTTTGTAAGCTTCTCAGTTTGAATTATTCAGCTGTGGTTACTATGGAACCACGAGCCTTGTTCACTTTGCAGAGGAAAAGTCTAATGGTCCCCCAGTGTCCCCAGACTGTGGAAGAGCTCATTAAGAGAAAAGTACTGCTCTCCCTGTTAAAGACACACAAACCAAGCACAGAATGTCCACATCACGGTTTTAGGTGTACCTTCCATTCAGCAGACCTTGCACTTTCAGATGGGGGTTGTTCTTTGAAGTGTTAAGATGCCTCCTTGCTGAAAATAGTTATAATGTTTAGGTCAACTTAATCCTAGGGATTTGACATTTTGGAATAAAGAGCCTAGCTTAGTCCTTTTTTATGATGAGCAAAATGATAGTTTTTAACCCTCTTTTTATTTAACAATTGTTATTTTCTCCTTACCCTGCTAGTGATTTATGTATATAATCTCATGTAATTCCCCTGATAATTCTAAGGAAGGATTACTCTATTTTACAAAGGAGGAAACTCAGACTCTAAGCAGTCAGGTAAATCATGCAAGTAAGTAAAAAAGCCTAAATTTGAACCAAGTTCTAACTCTAAATCCTGGACTTCACCACTATGTTAAAATATACGTGTAGGCTTACTGGTGTAAAGGCCCTTGATTGCTATTACCTAGTTATTCGTCAAGAACTAGGGGTATAGTAACTGTCCCAGCTAAGGGGAGATTGAGCATATTGTAGTCAGCAACACCAATTCCCTTATCCCAGAGCTGGTGCCAGGAATTTGCAACCCACTAAACGATCACCGCTCTTTTCTCCTCACTTGGGATTATGGAGTCCTGGGACATTGCAAGGAAATTGGTCTGTGCTCCCCCATCTCCCATGCCTACAAAGTAAGTTGGGTAGAAAGCAAGCAAAGCCTTGAGGCATGGATGGGCTCACATTGACCTTGAAAGCAGTCAGTCGTCAAGAGTTGGTAGGGTAAATGTGAGGCAGTCTGCCAATGTATTCCTAGTTCAATCTGACTGGTAAGAGATTGAGGCAAAGTGAGTTGAATTTTTCAGGTTTACAAATGAAACTAGCAAAAAAGTAATTCAGCAATAGATCCAAAGCTTCTTTCTGATTCATTTTGTAAGATTAAAACTATTTTATTGACTAAAGAGACTTAGAGATAATCTAACTCAGCTTTCTGTTACATGGGAAGAAACTGAGGGCTGGATAGATGAACAGATGTATTTGAGGAGTCCAAAGGCCTGGAGAGTGGTGTTGGGGGTTCGGTGGAGAAAGGAGTAGAGGAAAAAGCTCCTGACAGCAAGACGAGCCTTTCCATAGAACATCATGCCTTTCTGTTGTTAGGGGACAGTCTGCCTGAGAATGTGCCCAGATAAGCAACCTGGGCTGTGGGGAGGGAGAACTGGGAATGGAGAGGTGGACTTCAGAAAAGAGCAGGAGATAGTTGAGGGGTTGGGGGAAGCTGAATGTAGATCAAGGCAAGGGGATCCAGATGGCAGGCAAATCGTGCCTACCATTATTTCCTGAGTTGCCTTAGTGTCTGGGGTGATACCCATGAATTCAAGCCTCCAGGAGGCTATGAAACCTCAGTTAATTAAGCAAATTGTATTCCTCAGAAGCAACCTGGAATTACTGTTATATTTTTTTATCTAGGTTTTATTGCCTCAACTTTCACCTTTTATATGCAAAAGCATCTGCTTAAAAGCCTGGGAGGTTGTCTATAATTACTTTTGTATCTGTGAGCTGCTTATTTACTTATTTTTAAAAAATATATTTATGTAAAACTGACACAATAATTTTTCGAATAGCTGGAAGAGAGGATTTTGAAGGTTATAACACAAAGGAATGATAAAGGTTTGAGGTGACCAGTATGCTAATTACCCTAATTTAATTATTACACATTGTATACAAATATCCAAATGTCACACTGTAACCCATAAATATGTGAACTGCTTTTAACTTCAAGTGTCAGTTTCTGACAAGGTTTCCTCCCAAATATTACAGGCAGTGCCTCTCCGCAAGAGGCTCTGGGTCTGTGTTGCTGAATTGGCCTGTGTCCTCAAAGCACGTTCCAGCTTTCAAGGGGAAAATGACAAGTGGAAGATGAGCAATGGACTGAATTGCCTAAGGTACTTAGAGATGCTATGTGGGAATAATTCTCAAATTTTGGTGTGCATAAAATTGCTTAGTGAGCTTTTAAAAATATGCACCCCTGGGACCCACCTCCTGACATAGAGTTTTTGATTTAAAAAGCCTGGGCTCAGAAATCTGTCTGCTGAAGAAGGGCCCCAGGTGATTCAGCTACAGAGAGTCCTTGGACTGAGTTTTGACAAACACATTATTTGTATTTATAGTTTTATTTATATTTCATAACAAATATTGTGTATATTTAAGGTATACAACATGATGTTTTAATATATATATATAGTAAAGCTGTGAGTGGTGGTTCACACCTATCATTCCAAGAATTTTGGAAGCCAAGGCGGGAGCATCAGTTGAACCCAGGAGTTCAGGACTAACCTGGACAACACAGAGAGAGTGCTTTCTCCACTGAAAAAAAAAATTAACCAGGCCTGGTGGCATGTGCTTGGGGTCCCAGCTATGCTGGAGGCTGAGGGGAGTTTGAGGCTGCAGTGAGCCGTGATCATGCCACTGCAGCCTGGGTAACAGAGACCCTATCTCAAGGGGAAACAAACAAACAAACAAACTATATATATATTTCCAAAAGTGGAACAAATCCATTACTTTACATAGTTACCTACTTTTTCCCTTGTGACAAGAACAGCTATAATGTACTCATTTAGCAGAAATTCTGACTACAATACACTGTTATTAACTATAGTCCTCAACATTGTACATTAGATCTTTTCACTTGTGACTTGTTCATCTTACATAGTGGCTACTTTATATCCTTTGACTTTACATCTCCTCATTTCCTCTCTTCCCCTTGACCCTGGTAACCCCTGTTTTATTCTCTGTTTCTATACTTTTGACTTTTTAAAAAATATACCACATATAAGTGAGATCATGCCATATTTTTCCTTCTGTGTCTGGCTTATTTCACTTAACATAATATCCTCCAGGTTCTCCATGTTGTGGCAAATGGCAGGATCTCCTCCTTTTTAAAGGCTAAATAATATTATATCATATATATGCCACAGTTTCTTTAACCATGCATCCATTGATTGAGACCTAGGTTGTTTCAATGTCTTGGCTATCCTATATAATACTGCAATGAACATAGGAGTGCAGATATATTTATGAGGTCATATTTCCTTTCCTTTTGGTTTATTGCCAGAAGAAAGATTGTTGGGTCATATGGTAGTTTTATTTTCAATTTCTTTAGAAACTTCCACACTGTTTTCCATAATGGCTCTATAAGTCTACCATATTAGTCAGTTCTCATCCTGCTATAAAGAACTGCACGAGACTGGGTAATTTATAAAGGAAAGAGATTTAATTGACTCACAGTTTAGCATGGCCGGGGAGACCTCAGGAAACTTATAATTGTGATGTAAGGTGAAGGGGAAGCAAGACACCTTCACAAGGCAGAAGGAAGGAGAATTGCTGAGAGAAGGGGAAAGAGCTCCTTATAAAACCATCAGATCTCATGAGAACTCACTCACTCATAAGAACAGCATGGGGGGAAACCAACCCTATGATTCAATTAGCTCCACCTGGTCTCTCCCTTGACATGTGGGGATCATGGGCATTGCAATTCAAGATGAGATTTGGGTGGGGGCACAAAGCCTAACCATATCATCTACATTTACACCAACAGTGTACAAAGGTTCCTTTTTCTCTCCACCCTTGCCAATACTTGTTATCTCGTGTCCTTTTGATAACAGCAATCATAACAGGTATATGGTGGTATCTCATAGTGTTTGTTTGTGTATTTATTTATTTATTTATTCATTTAGAGACAGAGTCTCTCTGTGTCACCCAGGCTGGGGTGTAGTGGCGCGATCTCGGCTAACAGCAACCTCTGCCTCCCGGTTTAAGTGATTCTTGTGTCTCAGCTTCCCGAGTAACTAGAAATACAGGCATGCACCACCATGCCCGGCTAATTTTTGTGTTTTTAGTAGAGATGGGGTTTTGCCATGTTGGCCAGGCTGGTCTCAAACTCCTGGCCTCAAGCGATTCACTCCCATTGGCCTCCCAAAGTGCTAGGACTACAGGCGTGAACCACCACTCCCAATCTTATAGTGGTTTTGATTGCAGATAAATACTCATTTAAAGTCTTGCTACTCGAAGTGTGATCCTGATCATCAGTATGGCTATCACCTGGGAGCTGATCCAAATCCAGAATCTCAGGCTTCATTCCCAAACTTCCAAATCAGCTTTTCATTTTAATAAGATTCCCAGGTGTTACCTGTGCACCCTAGAGTTTGAGAAGCACTGGATTAGAGGGTGCACTCATTTGCTAGGGCAGCCATAACAAAATACACGGACTTGGGAGCTCAAAGAATGGAAATGTATTTCTCAACAATTCTGGAGGCTAGATCATCAGAAGCAAGGTGTTAGCAGGTTTGGTTTCTTCTGAGGCCCCTTTCTTTGGATTACAGATGCCTGCTTTCTCTCTGTCCTCCAATGATCTGTCGATGTCTGGGTACCCAAACTTTCTCTTCTTATAAGGGCACCAGTCAGTCTGGATTAGGGCCCAGCCTGATGGCCTCATTTTAACTTAATCACCTCTTTAAGGCCCCTCTCCATATAACATCACATTATGAGGTACTGTGGATTAGCGCATCAACATAAAGATTTGGGGGGCATACAATTAAGGCCATAACAGAGGACATAGTAACTGTTAGTAGCTCCGCTTATACGTAATTCTGTCATTGGAAAGAACCTTGAGAAGAATTATTTTATACATTGGAATTTAATGGGGCCCCAGACCCTGTAAACCCACTCTTTATCTTCTGTTCTTCATCTTGGTAAATAGCACTATTTTTCGCTTAATTTGTCTAAGACGGATACCTTGGGACCTAGTGCTCCCTCTGCCTTGCCATCCATATTTAATTAGTCATCACATCTTACCATATTTACCTCTGCGATCTTTTCAATAAAATGATTCTGATTTCCACTGCTCTGGTCCTTGCCTTCTCATCTCCCATCACACTAGGCACACCTCTTAACCCATACTGGAAATATTAGCTCACTTTTCTCACTGATATCTTGGTCTCTAGTCTTATTTTGTGAGTCAAGTCCATTATTTCCATTAATGATAATTTTTTTTATAAAATAAAAATCATGCCATGTAATTTTCCTGCTTACAATCCCTCATGGCTTGCTTTGCCCTAAGAAGAAAATGCAACCTTCCTAGCATAGCTGATAAAGCTACTTATGACCTGGCGGATGCTTCCCTTGCCAGTCTCATCTCTCCCTTCTGCCCCCTGCACCCTCCCCACCAACTCCATTTCTTCATAATATTCTGTTCTCCAACCGCACTGGACTTTTTCACCCTATAGCTTCTCATGTCTCACATTTGAGCCTTTGCAAAAGGCCTCTTCCTGGAACTCCATCCTTTTTTTTCTTCCCCCACAACACTTCTCCCATTAATTTCTTATTATCTTTGAAATCTCAGCCTTTATGTCACTTTCTTCCTAAATCTTATTTACCTTGGTTATTCAGCATAAGTGGCTTTCTTCGGGGGTCCTGTGTTGCTCATCACACTTTTTTTTTTAACCTCCTTATTTCCTGCAGTGGACCAAAAATTCCTTCAAGGCAGTGTAAATATACTTACAACTGTATTTCTGATACCCATCCAGTGCCTGACAAATAGTCAGGGCTCATACGTGCTTGTTGAATGTGTTAGTGGAGTCACTGTTTATATGAAGGCCAAAAGTCTAGGGAATGGAGAACCTGAATGCAAGTACAAATAGTTACCACTAATGTGATATTCTTACGGAGAAACTTCTAATTGGAAACAAGTGTTAGAGAAACGTTCAGTATTCTCCTGAAGATTCAAAAAATCTTTTTGTCTTCTAAGCATGTGGCTTTAGAACCATAAGAGCACTTATGGGGACAAAAGGACCAAATATTTGAAACAAGGATGAACATTGTGCCATCGTAGCACTATGCTGTCCTTCAAACATCTGTCTCCTGTGAACATCTGAGGTCATCTTCCTCACAGAATCACGGTGAGTCTAGGCCTGGCCCTCTGTCATCATGAGGTGGCACAGAGAACATTTTATCAGGCTTGCTTTGTCAGTCTGTCACAGCAACACAAAGAAAATAGCAGTCTAATAGGAATCCTTGCTTTTTCCTGGACCCTCTTTCTAGAACTGTTATTGTAACTGGATCTGAAGATAGATAGTAGTTACCAATATCTCTGTGGAGCAGGGGCTTAAGATATGCTACAAGGTTTAAAATGTAGTTTAATGCCTTTTTCTCAAACAATACCTTATACAATTCTTAAAACAGTTACATGGGAAAAGTATTATTACCCCTGTTTTAAGTTGATCAAGATTATATGGCTAGGAAGAGTCAAAACTGGAGCTCAAGTCTCTCACTCTGAGGGCTTACTATTGCCCCTCCTTGGAATGCTGTTCTCCATGCTGTCCACCCCACCTATTGCCCCTTCTTCTAACTCCTATTTATCCTTAAGATGGGAGTTTAAATATCTCTTTATCAATGCAAAGCCTTAATGTCTAATAGGCACCTCACCCTTAACATGTTCAAAAGCAAAGATGTGATTCCTGCCCTCTTCCTTATAACTTATCCCCATCCCCCATCATCTTCCCTAACTCCATCTTTCCTCCACGTTTTTGTCCAGATACAGGAATAACCCCAAATAAGGTCATAGTACAAGGGTTTTTATTAAAAGCCTTATTTCAGTTGCTGAGCCCTCGAAACCCTGGTATCTCTCTTTCTTTTTACCGACTCATTAATGAAATCCTATTAATTCTGCCTCCAACGTATAACTAAAATCTGGTGTCTTCTCATCTCCACTGCTACCATCATTTCTTCCTGGCGATGATTGCACTAGCCTTCCAGACTGACCAATTTGCTTTCAATCTTGCCTGTGTCCACCTTACCTTCAAGGCACAGAATTGGAGGAATTTACGTCACTTTTAAAAATGTAAGTTAGATCATTTCACCTCCAGTAGCTCTCTGTCTCACTCAGAAGAGAAGCCAATTCCTTACAAAAGTCCACCATCTGTGGCTCCTGGGTGCCTTCCACCTCTTTGATCCCCTCCCCATCCACTCCTAAATTTGCCTCCTCCACACCAGCCTCTTCCTATTCCTCAAGCACATCAAGCATACTTCTGATGCAGGACCTTTTGCCCTTGCTGTTTCCTCTGCTGAAAGGTTCTTCCTGCAAGTATCCACACTTCTTTATTCTCTTCAGGTCTATGTTCAAATGTGACCCTATTGGAGAGGTAGTTTTCTGAGCAATCTATATAAAACAGCAACCTCTCCCATTCATCTCTTGTACTTAGCTTATATTTTCTTCATAGGATTTATTTCCATCTACTATACTAAATATTTATTTGCTTGTCTCCCTCCACCACAATGCTGGCTTCCCGAGGGCAAGAACTTTTATTGTTCTTTTCTGCACCCTTAGCACCCAGGAGAGTGCCTGGGAAATATCATTTAAATAAATGAATGAATAAATGGCTTTCCTGACCTTCTAAACTAGGTTAGGTATTTCCACCTTACATTCCTAGTGCACACACCTTCTTCATTTCATTCTTTGCATCATTAGTCATACTTGTTATTTGATAATGGTTCAGAAGTATAAATTCCTTAAAGTCGGAGATCAATTCTATCTTGTTTACCAATGATTAACTAGCTGTTAACAGAACTAGTTAAACACAATGTGAGTGTGCAATAAATACTGAATAATTTTAAAGACTTTTTCTTGGACAGTTGGTGATGATGACACCACTGACCGGGGCAGAAACTGAAGGAAGTGCATGTTTGACAAGAGGAAGATGAAGCCTGGAGACAGGCATACCACAATGCTGACCCAGAGCCTAAGAAATATCATGGCCCTGGAGAGATAGGGGTTTAATGTCATGTAACACTGCTGATATGTAAAGATTTGGGAAAGTCTGAGGGTTTACAGGGAGGATATATTTAGCCTGTGTAGATAATAATAGTAATGTCAACCAATACACATTAAACATTTACCATATGCTATGCACTATTTTAGGTGCATTACACATATCAACCTATTTAATTCTTCCAAAAACTCCATGCTGTAGGTACAATTAGAGGTCCCTTTAACATATGAAAAAATGGAAACAAAAAGATGTTAAGGCAGTTGTCCAAGTCCACACAGCTCTTTGGTGGCAGAACAAGCTTCAGACTCGGCCAGTCTGGCTCATAAGCCAAGATGGCTGAAGAGAGAACAGGAAGATGGTTCCTCCTATTTCCTCCCATCATATTTTAGTAAGTGTTGATGAACAAGTCATCTTTCAATGAAATAATGAAATAAAATTTCAGGGTTTGAAAACTGGTTCTAGCAATGTTTTGCTCTTATTCTTATTGAGTGCAAGTCTATGGACTGGCAGTTCCTTTGCCTAAGCAGCTCCAGTTACTGAAATGGTCCATAGATAATGTGATAGCAAAGGCTTTCTATTAAAGCACCTCGAATTGTTCTTGGCAGCTTATCCTCTGAAAGAAGCAATAGAAAAATGAACTGAAACATGCTTTGCATTGCTATGCCAGCTGCCTGTCACAGTCCAAAATAGCTGAGACTCTCCAGAAACTGTAAAATTGTCTTAAAGGTCCAATTACACTTTTGGCTTATCTGGTTTTCTTTTTTAAAATGTAGTTTAATTCATTCAATGTCACTTTTCTTAAAGAAAAAAAAAACTGGTACTATATTCTATTTTGAATTAAGTTAGTACTAATGTAGGCTAAGTGGACTGCATCCCTCTAGGCCAAATCATGAAACTGTTTGAAAGCACCTATTATCGTATTTAAGTCCCAACTGATGTGTGCTTTAATTTTATCCACTTCCTATTTTCATGTTATATATTGATACACTTCTTGATACCATATTAGATGTTTCCTATTCCCAGAAGAGCAATAAATACACTGAATGGAATGCTTTCCTGTGTGCATAGTTGAAAATACAGATTTTTTGACAGTGAATCTTCTGATCAAATTTTAAGAGAAACACAGTTCTGCTGAAGTGCAGCTTCAGATAGATAGCTTCTCAATAACTGCATTAAGGGGAGAAAAAAAAACCTTCAAACCTTTGAAGACTGTGGACCTTTTAAAATAAGATTCACAGAATCTGATTTCTTAAGATGTGCTTGGTGAAACACACCAGCATGATCACCAGCTTTGTACCTCATTAGAAGATTTTTAGATGGAATCCTGCACCAGGGTGCCTCAGTCAACTGATTTTCCAGTGAAGACATGAATTTTAAAGCATCCTCATATATAGCCTCTAGTAAAATTGGATTTGATCTTTAGTTAGGCTTTTTAGTTAGTCATCCTTACCCAGCAGTCAGTTTTATCTGCCTCATTGAGTGATTATTTAAAGAAGGTTTCACTGTTCATCTTTGTGTGTGTGTGTGTGTGTGTGTGTGTGAGAGAGAGAGAGACAGAGAGAGAGAGAGAGAAAGAGAGAGAGAGACCACCAGAAGTCTCAACAATAAACTTTAAAAGTTGAAAGCGAAAGTCTATCTCTGCATTTGTTATCCCTGCTTCGTTCTGAGGATCTCTTTATTAGTATTATTTAGGTGGGCAGAAGAATGACCACTCAAAGACTTCCCTTTCTTGGATAGAATATCCCTGCAATGAATATGACAAATACTGCAAAATTCCCACTGTGTTGTTACTAAGCTTAGCTCGCTCTTTCTTGGGGACTTGGAGAGAAGCCTATTTATTCACTTGAGCATTCTGAATATCATTGACATTTTCTTTGACTGCACCTCAGGCTGTTGTAGTGTGAGGACTTTTAACAGGAGGGTTAACTTCCTGAATGTCAGAAAACTTCCACATCCACATGCTTTACCAGCAAATCAATGCATGTATTTTTATACTTTCAGGTGGATCTGAGAGCAGGTCACATATTAATGAGTTGTTTATGGGGATGGGGAGGGTGGAGTGGGGTCTTGAGGGAAATTTCTAACTCCTGCTGGTTTCCCTACATTTGAGTATTGATAATTAGATCCCACCTAGGGATTATGGTGATGGGGGAATGGATTGAAGGCTCACAGAACAAACTTGGTAATTATATATTTATACTACCTTATATTCTGTGTACTTCAAAGCCCAAATTCAAATCCATCAAGCATTGGTGTCAGGATGGAAATTGCTGGATCCAGCAGAGCTCAACTATTCTGGTCTCCAGACTCCTTCTGGCGATTAGAAATGAAGCTTAGCTGCCAGGTTTCTCCTGTTGATTGCCACAATGTCCTCAACTGAAAAAATAGAGATAATAATAGTACCTTCCTCAGAGAGTTGTTGAGAGGATACATGAAGATAATGCATGTAAAAGACTTAGATCACTTCCTGGCACAGAGTATATCTTGCTCAAAGTGTTCTTTCACTATCATATTCAACATCAGTCATAATTTTCTCTTGCTGGCTTTGGCCCAGTCCATATAGGTAAAGTGGGGGTACCCCTAGCCCCTGACTCTTTAGGTGGCAGAGTGGAAATGACTTCCTTTCTCTTGACATGCACCTAAAATGCTGAACATGATACACTGAGGGCTATAAATGAGGTGAAAGGTGTTGGTAAGGAAAACAGGTCTGGTATAGTAGAAGAAATTGTTATAGGCGAGTGACATACAGTTTCTTTTCCTGGTTCTTATGTGTGACCTTAGAAAGGTGAAAGAGAAAGGAAAATATAAGATATGGTCACCCTGTATAGGTGACGTGATATACTATTGTTCTGATTATGTTCTCATATATCATACGTTCCTTTTAACTAAGTTATGAGGTTACTGAACTCCATGAGGTTAAAATGACTGACCTAATTCTCTTGCAGAGAGTCAGACCTACTCAGCCTTCCAAGGTCATCTCTTGGGTCTTTTTGTTGGGAGAAGGGAGATATTCAATTTGATATTTCAAAGTGATTCTCAGATGTGCTGGAGGAATTTTGCAAGGTCAGCTGGAGTTTCATCACCATTTAGTAGAATTCCTTTCCCACTCCACATACATGCTATTTTAAAACTTTATTTCTCTCTTATGCCCCACATTTGGAGATGACCTCTACTACCTGAGCTCATGAGGCTGCCTCCAACTTCACTGAGCACATCTGTGCTCTCAGGGTAGTTACTTTAATGTTCCAAGTCATTCTCATATACTCATCCCTGACTATATACCTTATGATTATCTTCCTTCTAATCTCAGAGGCAAAACAATGCCAAACACTATAATATTCATTGACTTCTCACTATTGCCAGGAACTTAACATAAATTAATCCTCACAACACTTTGAAGTAGGTACTATTCCTACTCATATTTTATAATTAGGACACAGAGCATTTGTTATGGACTGAATTGTTCCCCCACTCTGCGTTCCACCCAAATTTATCACATACATATCTTTAAGCCCCAACTCCCAACTTGATGATATTTGGAGATGGGGCCTTTGGCTGGTAATTAGATTTAGGTAAGGTCATGACAGTGGGGCCCTCTCATGATGGGATTAGTGTTTTTACATGAAGAGACACCAGGGAACTCGCTCTCTCTCTCTCTTTCTCTCTCCCTTTCTGTGCCATGTTAGGGGACAGTAATCCCTTACTGGGGAACAGAATTGGCCAGCACCTTGATATTGGACTTTTCAGTCTCCAGAACTGTGAGGAATAAATTTCTATTGTTTAAGCCACCTACTCTGTGTGATATTCTGTTTTGGCAGCACAAGCAGACTAATATAGAGATAATTTGCTGAAGTTAAACAGCTATCACATGGAGAAACTATCACTCAAATCCTGGTTTAACTTTAATCACTCTGCCACATGGCAACACAAAGAGTTTTTTTGTTTGTTTGTTTGTTTGTTTTCTCGTCAGTCTGAGGCCTCTTCCAGGGTTCTTAATCTCCAGTCCAGCTTTTAGCATCTTTTAGAATTTGCACTATCATTTTCTTTCTTGCATTTTCAAGTTTACTTTCAATTGTCTCCTTCCTTCCTTAGACATATATGCTCTTCTCTCTCTCATCTTAAACTGACTCACAGTACTCTGTCCCCTAGCAAGCTCTCTTAATTGCCAAAATCAATGCATTCTGTTCATCAGCTATGTTTAGTGATATCATTTTAATGTTTGACAATGTTGAGTCCATTTTGGGGGAAACACTTCTCTTGAGTTACTAGCAGGCCATTTTTCTCTGCTAATATTCCTCCTTTTTTGTTTCTTGGTCATCTTTATTCACCCTGCTTAAATATTAGTGTTTCCCAGGATTTGGTTCTTGGTCCTCTTATCTCCTCTTTTTTACAACCTCAACCCCAGAAATCTCATTTTCTCTCACACCACTATAGTGCTAATGACTCCAGGGTCTATATATGTGATCCAAACTAGTGTGAGAGTATGGCTTGCTCTCTGTCTTCATTCAGGTATGTTTTTGTTGTTGCTGTTGTTCACATGATAGCTCCTTATATGGTTTGGCTTTGTGTCCCCACTCAAATCTCATGTTGAATTGTAATTCTCAATGCTGGGGAAGGGACCTGGTAGGAGGTAATTTGATCATGGGGGTGAATTTCTCCCTTGCTGTTCTCATGATATGAGTGAGTTCTCACAAGATCTGGTTGTTTAAAAGTGTGCAGCACTTCCCCCTTTACTCTCTCTCTCTCTCTCTCCTGCTCCACTATGGTAAGACATGCTTGCTTCACCTTTGCCTTCTGCCATGATTGTAAGGTTTCTGAGGCCTTCCGGCCATGCTTCCTGGACAACCAGTAGAACTGTGAGTCAAATAAACATCTTTTCTTTGTAAATTACCCAGTCTCAGGTAGTACTTTATAGCGGTGTGAGAACAAACTTATACAGAAAATTGGTACCAGAGAAGTGGGATATTGCTATAAAATACCTGAAAATGTGGATGTGACTTTTGAACTGAGTAATGGGCAGAGGTTGGAACAGTTTGGAGGGCTCAGAATTAAGACAGAAAAATGTGGGAAAGTTTGAAACTTCCTAGAGACTTGTTGAATGGTTGTGACCAAATGCTGATAGTGGTATAAATGGTAAAGTCCAGGCTGAGGTGGTCGCAAGTGGAAACGAGGAACTTATTGGGAACTAGGTAAAGGTAATTCTTGCTATGCTTTAGCAAAGAGACTGGCAGCATTGTGTCCCTGCTCTAGAGATCTGTGGAATTTTGAACTTGAGAGAGATGATTTAGGGTATCTTGCAGAAGTTTCTAGGCATCAAAACATTCAAGATTTGACCTGGCTGCTTCTGGTAGCATATGCTCATATGCATTTGCAAAGAGATGGTCTGAAATTGGAACTTATATTTAAAAGGGAAGCAGAGCATAAATGTTTGGAAAATTTGCAGCTTGACCAGGTAGTAGAAAAGAAAAACCCATTTTCTGGGGAGAAATTCAAGGCTGCAGAAATTTGCATAAGTAAAGAGGAACCAAATGTTAATAGCCAAGACAATGGTGAAAACACCTCAAGGGCATTTCAGAAACCTTCACAGCAGCCCCTCTCATCACAGGCCTGGAGGCTAGGAAAGAAAAAATGATTTTGTGGGCCATCCCGGGGCCCCACTGCTCTGTGCAGCCTTGGGACACGGTGCCCTGTGTCCCAGCTGCTCCAGTTTCAGCCATGGGGGAAAAGGGACCAAGGTACAGCTTGGGCCCTTGCTTCAGCAGGTGCAATCTTCAAGCCTTGGAAACTTCTGCATGGTGTTGGGCCTGTGGGTGCACAGAAAGCAAAAGTTGAGGTTTGGATCCTCTGCCTAGATTTCAGAAGATGTATGGAAACACCTGGATGTTCAGGCAGAATTCTGTTGCAGGGGCAGAGCCCTCATGGAGAACCTCTACTAGAGCAGTGTAGAGAGGGAAGGTGGGGTTGGAGCCCCCATGCAGAGTCCCCACTGGGGCATTGCCTAGTGGAGCTGTGAGAAGAAGGCCACCATCTCCAGACACCAGAATGATAGAACCACTGACAGCTTGCATTGTGCACCTGGAAAAGCTGCAGGCACTCAATGTCAGCCTGTGAAAGCAGCTGCAGGAGCTATACTCTGCAGAGCCACAGGGACAGAGCTACCCAAGGCCTTAGTAGCCCACCTCTTGCATCAATGTGCCCCAGATATGAGAAATGGAGTCAAAGGAGATCATTTTGGAGCTTTAAGATTTAACTACTGCCCTACTGGGTTTGGACTTGCATGGAAACTGTAGCCCCTTTATTCTGGCCAATTTCTCTCTTTTGGAATGGGAATATTTACCCAATGTCTATACCTCCATTGTACATTGGAAATAATTAACTTGTTTTTGATTTTACAGGCTCATAGGTGGAAAGGACTTGCTTTGTCTCAGATGAGACTTTAGACTTGGACTTTTAATATAATGCTGGAATGAGTTAAGACTTTGGGAGACTGCTGAAAAGGCATGACTATGTTTTGAAATTTGAGAAGGACATGAGATTTGGGAGGGGCCAGGGGCAGAATGATATGGATAGGCTTTGTGTCCCCACCCAAATCTCATGTTTAATTGTAAACCTCAGTGTTGGAGGAGGGGCCTTGTGGGAGGTGATTGGATCATGGTGGTGGATTTCCTACTTGCTAGTCTCATGATAATGAGTACGTTCTCACAAGATCTGGTTGTTTAAAAGTGTGTAGAACTTCCCCACTTCTCTCTCTCCTGCTCTAGCCACGTAAGATGTGCTTGCTTTCCCTTCATCTTCCAACATGATTGTAAGTAAGTTTCCTGAGGCCTCCTATACAGCCTGTGGAGTCAATTAAACCTCTTTTGTTAATAAATTACCTGGTCTGAGGTAGTTCCTTATAGCAGTGTGAGAATGGAGTAATAAAAATCATCAGAGAGGAATTCTCTGTCTAGACAATAAGAAAATGACACCACTGCCCACTGCCTAAATTTGCAAATTTCTCCCCCCACTTTTAAGATGTATCACCACCTGACTTTATAATCTATATTCATTTAATTGACTTCAAACTCAACGAATCCAAGAGCTGTTTTTTTTGAAAAAAATTAATAAAAACTAATAAAATATAAAAATAAAAGTAAAATACAATTAATATTTTTTTCAAATACCTTTATTTTTAAAATAAATTACATTAAATTAACAAATAAAATTAGCCTAGTTGGCTAGACTAATATAGTAGAAAAGACAGAAGAATCAAATAGACATAATAAAAAATGATGAATGGGATATCACTGAAATACAATCATTAGAAAACACTATAAACACCTCTGTGCAAATAAACTAGAAAATCTAAAAGAAATCGGTAAATTCCTGGACACATAGACTTCTCCCTCCCCCGCAGAGACTGAACCAGGAAGAAACTGAATCCCTGACTAGACTAATGATGAGTTCTGAAATTAAGGCAGTAATTAATAGCCTACTAGCCAAAAAAAAAAAAAAAAAAAAAAAAAAGAGAGAAAAAAAAAAAGCTCAGGACCAGACGGACTTACAGCGAAATTCTACCACAGGTACAACGAGAAGCTGGTACCATTTCTTCTGAACCTATTCCAAACAATTGAAAAGGAGACTGGGCCATCTCCCTAACTCATTTTATGAGGCCAGTATCATCCTGATACCAAAACCTGGCAGAGATACAACAGAAAAAGAAAACTTCAGGCCAATATCCCTGATTAACATCAATGCAAAAATCCTCAATAAAATACTGGCAAACAAAATCCAGCAGCACATCAAAAAGCTTATCCATCATGGGCCGGATGCAGTGGCTCATGCCTGTAATCCCATTACTTTGGGAGACCGAGGTGGGCGGATCACCTGAGGTCAGGAGTTCGAGACCAGCCTGGCCAACATGGTGAAACCCCATCTCTACTTAAAATACAAAAAATTAGCTGGGTGTGGTGGTACACACCTGTAATCCCAGCTACACAGGAGGCTGAGGCAGGAGAATCACTTGAACCTGGGAGGCTGAGATTGCAGTGAGCTGATATCACGCTGTTGTACTCCAGACGGGGGGACAGAAGTGAGACTTCATCTCAGCAAAACAAACAAACAAACAAAACCCTTATCCACCATGATCAAGTTGGCTTCATCCCCAGGATGCAAGCCTGGTTCAACATATGCAAATCAACAAACATAACTCATCACATAAACAGAACTTAAAACAAAAACCACATGATTATCTCAATAGAGACAGAAAAGGCCTTCAATAAAATTCAACATCCCTTCATGTTAAAAACTCTCAATAAACTAGGTATGGATGGAACACATCTCATAATAATAAAAGCCATTTATGACAAACCCACAGCCAATATCATACTGAATGGGCAAAGCTGGGAGCATTCCCCTTGAAAACTGGCACAAGACAAAGATGCCCCCTCTCACAACTCCTATTCAACATAGTATTGGAAGTTCTGGAAAGTCCTATCTGGAAAGAGAAAGAAATAAAATATATTCAAATAGAAAGAGAGGAAGTCAGACTGTCTCTGTTTGCAGATGGCATGATCCTATATCTAGAAAACCTCATCATCTCAGTCCAAGAGCTCCTTAAGCAGATAAGCAACTTCAGCAAATTCTCAGAATACAAAGTCAATGTGCGAGAATCACGAGCATTCCTATACACCAATAATAGACAAACAGAGAGCCAAATCATGAACGGACTTAAAGAGAATAAAATACCTAGGAATCCAGCTTACAAGGGAAGTAAAGGGGCTCTTCAAGGAGAACTACAAACCACTGCTTAAGGAAATCAAAGGACACAAACAAATGGAAAAACATTCCATTCTCATTCATAGGAAGAATTAATATCGTGAAAAAGGCCATACTGCCCAAAATAATTTATAGATTCAATGCTATTCCCATTAAATTACCATTGACATTCTTCACAGAATTAGAAAAGACTACTTTACAATTCATATGGAACCAAAAAAGAGCCTACATAGCCAACACAACCATAAGCAAAAAGAACAAAGCTTGAGGCATCATGCTACCCAACCTCAAACTATACTACAAGGCTATAGTAACCAAAATAGCATGCTACTGGTACCAAAACAGACACATAGACCAATGGAACAAAATACAGATCTCAGAAATAAGACTGCACGTCTACAACAATCTGATCTTTGACAAACCTGACAAAAACAAGAAATGGAGAAAGGGTTCCCTATTTAATAAATGGTGCTAGGAAAACTGGCTAGCCATATGCAGAAAAATGAATCTGGACCCCTTCCTTATACCTTATGCAAAAGTTAATTCAAGGTGAACTAAATACTTAAATGTAAAACCCAAAACTGTAAAAACCCTAGAAGAAAATCTAGGCAATACCATTCAGGACACAGGCACTGGAAAGGATTTCATGATGAAAACATCAAATGCAATTGCAACAAAAGCAAAAATTGACAAATGTGATATAGGTAAACTAAAGAGCTTCTGCACAGCAAAAGAAACTATCATCAGTATCAACAGACAACCTACAGAATGGGAGACAAGTTTTGCAATTTATCTACCTGACAAAGGTCGAATATCCAGTATCTACAAGAAACTTAAACAAATTTACAAGAGAAAAAATGAACCCCATAAAAAAGTGGGTGAAGGACATGCACAAATACTTCTCGAAAAAAAGACATGAAGCCAACAAACATATGAAAAAAAAGCTCAACATCACTGATTATTAGAGAAATGCTAATCAAAACCACAATGAGATACTATCTCACACCAGTCAGAATGGTGATTATTAAAAAGTCCTGAACCAACAGATGCTGGTGACACTGTGGAGAATTAGAAACACTTTTACACTGTTGGGGGGAATGTAAATTAGTTCAACCATTGTGGAAGAAATTGTGGCGATTCCTCAAAAACCTAGAACCAGAAATACCATTTGACCCAGCAATCCCATTACTGGGTATATACCCAAAGGAATATAAATTATTCTATTATAAAGATACATGCACATGTATGTTTGCTGAAGCACTATTCACAATAGTAAAGACATGGAATCAACCCAAATGCCTATCAATGATAGACTGGATAAAAAAAGTGACACATATACATCATAGAATACTATTCGGCCATAAAAGGGACATGGATGTAGCTGGGAGCCATTATCCTCTGCAAGCTAACACAGGAACAGACAACCAAACACCACATGTTCTCACTTATAAGTGGGAGTTGAACAATGAGAACAAGTGGACACAGGGAGGGGAACAACACACACTGGGGCCTGTCATGGGGGTTGGGAGAAGGAGAGCATCAGGATAAATAGCTAATGTACGTGGGTTTAATACCTAGGCAATGGGTTGATAGGTGCAGCAAACCAGCAAGCCACATATTTACCTACATAACAAACCTGCACATCCTGCACGTGTCCCGAAATTTAAAATAAAATAAAATTACATTTAAAAAATAAAAATAAAATTGAATAAAACTAAAAGTGTCATTCAGCATTGTTTCATGAATGCCTCCTATGTTCCAGGCTGTATTCTCAGTGCTGGGAAAGTAGCACCAGACAGATTCCAACAGACAGAAATCCTTGCCTTCAATGAGCTTATATTCTAGTTGAGAGAGAGAGACAAAGCAAGATATTAAGTAAGAAAACCATACAGTTCATCAACTAGTAATATGGTTGTTAAATATGAAATAGGAAAGAAGATGGTGAATAAAGGTAATGTTCAGCCTAAATCCAGGTGGTCAGGGGAGGTCTCTCCATGTAGAGGAACTTTGATGGAATGCCCAAAACAAGTTAGAACACTGGCCACCTGGGAGAGGAGCTCTCTAGGTGAGGAGAAGAAAGTTCAGCTTCATCCTTTTCTTTCCTTCCTGTTCCTTATACTGTTACCAACACTACATTTAGACTATAGTCATTCTGAATTACTGTTTTATACCTCTGTATCATGGCTTATTAAACTCCTTCAGTTTGTAATCTTCATCTCCATTTATTTTTCTGGAAAATCTATCCTTTTGTAAATAGGGATGGTAACAGTTATGCCTACTTTGAGGGTTGCTGTGATAATTACATTAACTTATATATGTGTGGTGATTGATTTTATATTTCAACTTGACTGGGCCAAGGGGTGTCGAGATATTTGGTCAAACATTGTTCTGGGTGTTTCTGAAAGGGTAATTCTGGGTGAAATTAACATTTAAGTTGGTAGGCTTTAACATTAGATTGGATTAACATTTGAATCAGTAGAGTAAATCAGATCACCCTTCATAATGAGAGTGGGCTTCACCCAATTAATTGAAGTCTTAAATAGAACTAAATGATCAATCTTCCCCCATATAATAAATAATTCTCCAGTAGACAACCTTCAGAATTCATCTGCACTGTTGGCTTTTCTAGGTGTCTTCATGCTGGCCTTCAGACTGGAACTGTCCCATTGGTTCTCTTGGGTTTTGAGCCTGCCAGCCCACACTGTGGATTTGAACTTGGCAGTCTTCATAATTGCATGAGCCACTTCCTTATTATAAATCTCTCTCTCTCTTCACATACACATACACACACATGTGCAGACACACACAGAACCCTTTGGTTCTGTTTCTCCAGAGAACCCTGACTCTAATACAGTGAGTGGTACTTAGTAAGAGACATATCCAATTTTATTATTATCAAAATATAAATATCAATCATATCATTTTCATTAAGGTAGCTCCTAAACCTATCACAATCTGCTTGCCTAATTCACAATAATCCCTTAGGTCCCAGCTTCCCTCAGCCCCTCAGTCTGGAAAAATGCCCTTGCTATGGATTCTCCATACTTTCCCTAATACTGCTCTTTTATAATGAATTACAATTTCTTAATTATTTATCTGCATTCCAATCTAGACTTTAAGCTTCTTGAGAGTGGGCACTGTCTCTGGTTTATTCTTTTATCCCTGACACTAGCTCTCTGACTTGCATATGGTAATAACCCAATACATATTTATTTAGTAAGTTAATTAGTTACCCAGAATTATATTCTACTCAAAGAGATATTGAAAAACCTACCATAAGGAAAACTTGTCTGAAATGATTTGATTTTTCAAGGCTTCAATGAGATCTGAAATTTCTTCAGTATACCTCCTTCTTTCTGTTTTTATTTCTGTTTATTCTTTCTACATAGAAAGTATACTTTTCCATACCAATTACTAGTCTGACTGTATATTATTGTTAATAATGTATATCTCTGGGGATTTATATTGTGTTAGTCAGAGTTAGGTTATGCTTAAGGGACATTAATCTTCAAATCCTAGAGTCATAGCATAAGAAAGTTTTATTATTCTTTTAGTAACCCAGGCTAACAGAAGCTCCATCTACTTGCGGCTACAACAGAAGAACAAGTGGCCTCCAACGCCGTGGTACTGGCGGAAGAGAGATCCTGGAGAAATCTCACAGGCTTTTTGCTTCTCAACATGGAAAGGAGAGATACATGTCTTTTCTACCCTTTTCATTGGCTGTAATGAGTCACATGTCTCTACTCCCCTTGAAGCTCAGAAGTGCAGTCTTTGTGTCTAAAGTGGCAGAAGAACTGGATATTGATGAACATTAGTAATGCTTACCACGTATATTAACCCAGGTGTACACAGAGCCATGTAAAATTTGAGTCTCGCACTATGAAGTTCCAATCCAGATCCTATGGCTGGGTTTTAGAATGGCTATATCAATATAAATATTAAGAACCAAAGACCATATATTACAGATGCAATTTATTCTGATCTAGTGCTTAGAGCAGGACCAACAACTGTGGCACAAGTTTTCTAATTACAGTTCTGCAGGTTAGATAGTCAACTTGCTACAGTTTTCTTCTCATGGGCTTGAAGATGATCATTTCATACACAATTCGGTCAAATGTACTGACTTATCTCTATGCAAAAAATCCAGTTAATGTGTCAAGTATCATTTTGTCTATGAAGTTTCCTGCTAAATTTTATACCAACTATCTTGCAATGGTTACAATTCCCTAAAATGTGTCTCAAGGACAGAAATTAAATCCTGGTCATCTTTATGTTTTTGACATATAACAGTACTTAAATTTTTTTTTTTTAAACAGCTTTTTGAATGAGTAACTAAATAACTGAATAAGTGCCTATCTAAAAATAGTTACTTGTCATCTGAATCATTCTCCTTTACTGGCCAGTATCACTCCATTTTTGGGGAGAAAAAGGGGGCAGTACGTCATGGTGGCTAGGAACAAGGACTTAGAAGGCAAGGTGATGTGGATTGGATGCCTGGCTCTGCTACTTGCCAGCCAAAGGTCTGTGGGCAAGGTTGTAACTTTCTCTAAGACACATCTGTAAAATTCAATCCATAGTGTTCCCATGAGGCTATTTTGAAGATTTGCTGAGATAATTCTTACAAAGTGCTGAGCACAGCACCTGGCATCTAAAAGCCTTCAGTAAATGTTAGCTATTATTATTATTCTGTAACTGGACTTTTGCAACTATTTCCTCAGGATTTAGGCAGGATAGTAAACACAAACGGTTGTATATTTTACCCACATCTAGTCCTTGCAATAACTGTATGTTGCTCTTATTATTTTAATTTACAGAAATTGATTCCTGAAGTGGGTAAAAACTCACCCAAGGTCATGCAGCTGGTTGGTGGTAGAGCTGAGACTTGAACCCAGAACCAATGAACCCCTTGTCTCAATTACTTCTTTAAAACTACAAGGGGGATCTTTTTGTTGCTATTTCTGTGGAGACACTTTTATCTTTATTAACATCTATCTGTTTGCTGAGCTAACAAAAATAACTAAAATGGTTATTAAACTGAGCCACTACGACAAGTTTTTATTTTATTTGAGCTTATAACTTTTTAAATTCTAACTTGGAAGCCTACTTACACAATGCAGAAAATACTTGGCTTTGTTATCACTCTCTAGAAATTTAATCACTACAACTATAAAATTATTATTAGTAACACTGGATTCCTGAAAGTTTGTGTAACTCTTAAGTTCTATTTTCCATTTTTATTAGCTATGTTTTATGCTGGGAGCATTCTTAGTCCCATTTTACCGTGTGGTAAACTAGTACAGAAGGGTCAATTTCTCTATATTACCCTTGAGTTGGTTGCAAAAGCAAGATTACAGTTACTCTGAAGCTCCAAGGTGTGGTGAATTACTTTACTACTATTTCGCCCACCCAGATTATTCAGTTATGATCAACTAATTGCAAAATGATAAATAAGAGTCATACATTTTTGTTCGTTTGTTTTTGTTTTTGTTTTATTTTACTTTAAGTTCCGGGATACATGTGCAAAACGTGCAGGTTTGTTACATAGGTATACGTGTGCCATGTTGGTTTGCTGCACCTATTGACCTGTCCCCAAAGTTCCCTCCCCTCATCCTTCACCCCACAGCAGGCACTGGTGTGTGATGTTCCCTTCCCTGTGTCCATGTGTTCTCATTGTTCAACTCCCACTTATGAGTAAGAACATGAGGTGTTTGGTTTTCTGTTCCTGTGTTAGTTTGTTGAGGATGATGGCTTCCAACTTCATCCGTCTCCCTGCAAAGGACATGATTCCTTTTTATGGCTTCGTAGTATTTCATGGTGTATATATACCACATTTTCTTTATCCCTTCTATCACTGGTGGGCATTTGGGTTGGTTCCATGACTTTGCTATTGTAAATAGTGTTGCAATAACATACGAGTGCTTGTGTCTTTATAGTACAATGATTTATATTCCTTTGGGTATATACCCAGTGATGGAATTGCTGGGTTGAATGGTATTTCTAGTTCTAGATCCTGAGGAATTGCCATGCTGTCTTCCAAAATGGTTGAACTTTTGCATTCCCACCAACAGTGTAAAAGTGTTTCTATCTCTCCACAGCCTCATCAGCATCTATTTATAGATTCAGTGCTATTCCCATCAAAATACCATTGACATTCTTCACAGAATTAGAAAAAAAACTACTTTAAATTTCATATAGAATCAAAGAAAACCCTTTATAGCCAAGACAATTCTAAGCAAAAAGAACAAGGCTGGAGGCATCACACTATCTGATTTTAAACTATATATAAGGCTATAGTAAACAAAACAGCATGGTACTGCTACCAAAACAGAGGCGTAGACTAATGGGACAGAACAGAGAACTCGGAAATAACACCACACATCTATAACCATCTGATCTTTGACAAACCCGATAAAAACAAGCAATGAGGAAAGGATCTCCTGTTCATTAAACAGTGCTGGGAAAACTGGCTAGCCATATGCAGAAGCTGAAACTGGACCCTTTCTTTACACCTTATACAAAAGTTAACTCAAGATGGATTGAGGACCTAAATGTAAAACGCCAAACCATAAAAACCCTAGAAGAAAACGTAGGCAATACCATTCAGGACATAGGCATGGGGAAAGACTTCATGACTAAAACACCAAAAACAATTGCAACAAAAGCCAAAATTGACAAATGTGATCTAATTAAACTAAAGAGCTTCTGCACAGCAAAAGAAACTAGCATCAGAGTAAACAGGCAACTTATAGAATGGGAGAAAATTTTCACAACCTACCCATCTGACAAATGTCTAATATCCAGAATTTACAAGGCACTTAAACAAATTCACAAGAAAAAACAAATCACCCCATCAAAAAGTGGACAAAGGATATGAACAGGCACTTCTCAAAAGAAGGTATTTGCATGGCCAACAAACATATGAAAAAGCTCAACATCACTGATCATTAGAGAAATGAAAAATCAAAACCACAATGAGATACCATCTCATGCCCATCAGAATGGCGATTATTAAAATGTCAAGAAACAACAGAGTCATACTTATTATTTCTATTTGCAGAAATTGGGTCCTGGAGTGGATAATAAGTAGCCCAAGATCATACAGCTGGTAAGTGGTAGAGCTGAGAATTGTGCTCAGAACCATTGGTACCAAGACAGAAGTGTGATAATACTGACATGGCCCAGGGATTTTAAGCCTCATGCTTGAGTTATTTGATTGGATTCATTTTTGTTCTTTTGTTCTACTGCTTATATCCAAGTCATTTCTTTCTCTTTCTTTCTCTCTTGCATTGTTAATAAGGCTCTCTTCCTCTCTTTCCTCAATTATAATGTACATTTCATGAGCATGGGAAGTTTTGTCTGTTTCATTTCCTATTGAACATCCAGAACAAAGAGTTTTGTGTGGCACACAGTAGGAACTAAATACATTAATAAACTTGTTGAATAGATTAATGTAGCCATTTTTGGGGGGGTCTAGAGCTGCAATGTCAAATGGTGAAAGCTTTGAATTTTAAGAAATACCTAATGTTGATAGATGACTGCATGGTTGGCCTCATTCTTGTCTGTATCAAGACCTTTTGTCACGTGACCTTGCAGTTCCTCCCACTAATGGAGAGAAAATTATTTTCCCACCTTTTCACTTTAGGTTGAGCCACATGCTTTGTTTTGGTTAATAGAATGAGAAAGAAACAACATGGAATCACCTTGGACCTTAGATCTCAAGAGGCTTTGCATGATTTCTTCTTTCTGTTTTGTGCCTTCACTATGAGCAGTAGATGGATTGGACAGCCTGATACTCCAAGGAAGATGAAAGGCACAGGGAACAGGCAAGGACTACTTGCTGTCAGTGTGGAGCAGAGCGACCCCATGAGCCCAGCTCCACCAACTGAGCTCCAGCCAATACACAGACATTTAAGCAACAATAAACACATGTTGTTTTAAGCCACAGACTTTTGAGATATTTTGTTATGAAGTATTTTCACAGAAATTGTTAACCAATATACCTAATTTACTGCTGATAATGCATTTAAGAATGTATATAAAATATTCTGTGATATCATATAAGTATACCACTGTCTGCATATAGTGATATGCCATCTGAGTTAACACATTCTGATGTAGGTAAAGCCATAAAAATTAAACATAGATATAGTTAGATATATTTGAGCAATGCCAATGCATTTGGTACTGCTAAATTAAATGTTGCTGGAGGGTGAAGTTGTGGGGAAAACAAACAAATCTGATCTGCCCTCACTTGAAATTATTTAATGTATTATGGTTATTATAATACAGTATCACTTGAATGCTTATTCATGCAGAAGATGAGTAGGATAAGGAGGTAGCATAAATGCCAGTATATAATGATTTCTTTTTACTTCAGAAAATTAGATGATAAACATTGTGTACTCTTATAAAGTATGATGGAATTTTCCAATAATTTTCAAGAAAAAATATTTTAAAGATTTTCTAAAAATATATTTGATAAGAAAAGTATGCATAGATAAATTTCAGAGGCTCTTCTATTTCACCTGATAACTACTTGGAGTGAGCGTCACTATTCTTGGTAGCAGAGAGGAACAGATACTTCAAGAAAGGTATGATCAGCAAAAGACAGCAATTTCCAGATGACTTCCTCAGGTCTTGTAAGAAATGAGATCTGGAATCCTGCAATGGAGAATGCCTTCCACATAGCCATGCCAACCAGTTAAGTGATAGAACGTGATTCTGCAAAACAACAAACTTCTTTGTTGTGACTTACATGAAACAAGTAAGATGATCACCACGTGTAGTACCTAGGAAGTTCTCAAGTATATAGGCTGGTAAAATTTTTTTTTTTTTCAAGCTGCATTGATCTTCTGGTTTTATTCTTTCTTAAACTCCTTTCAACCTTTTCTTAGCTAAAGTGGAGTTAGCTAGATTACTCATTACTGTTTATTAATGTGATATTTTGCATAAGAGTGCATGTGAAAACTTCTGCCAGCAGTGTCTAAGACTTACTGCATTTTTGTAGATGCAGATGTGAAATGTACTTGAGCTCTTTCATATTAGCTTACTTTGTCACCCTATTAAGCAAGTTTATTTAATTTAGCTTAGGGGTTGGGGCTCCAAATTAGGATTTAAACACTTATGTCCTCAAAGACATGGAATCTTTTACAAGGTCTTTTAAATAAATATGACTATGATTTATAATTCTTGATATGCATTTTACCACATATTACCATTATTCAAGTATATTTAATTACCCTTTTTATTTTATAAAATTCAATGAAAACCTTATGATCTATTGTGCCTGACAGGATCATTATTTGTCCCAGAACCTCTTGCCCACAAATTCAAATTTAATATAATTCTTATATAATATTCTTTTTCTTCCCCTCCTGCTCCCAGCCTCTTAAGCTAAATGATATGCCAAGTGATGTTTTTAGCACATTAGAAAAATAGAAGGCACAGTGGTATAAAGGAATGAGCACAGGCTCTGCATTTATACAGACTTGCCCTAGATTTGTTATGTGACTTTGGACCCATGTAATCCCTCTATACCTCAGTTTCTACATTTGGAAAATAGTGGAATATCAAATTACATAAACATTACCCAGCATTAACTGCTTGTATATAGTAAGTGCTCAGTTAATATTAGATTCCTGGTCATTGGCACTGGGATCCTAAGGAAGCCAACTAACTAATTATACTCCCCTCTCCACGTTCTGAAAAAAATGATAAATAGATACTTTCATCACTGTGAAAGGAATATAAACTTTGGGGCCCCCTAAATCAGGAAGCTAAAGGGAAAAGTTAAGCTGGGAACTGCTTAGAGCAAACCTGCCTCCCACTCTATTCAAAGTCACCCCTCTGCTCACTGAGATAAGTGCATATCTGATTGCCTCATTTGGAGAGGCCAATCAGAAACTTGAAAGATGCAACCAAATTCTCCTAACTACCTATGACCTGGAAGCCCCCTCCCCACTTCAAGTTGTCCCGCCTTCACCTTGAGTTGTCCCGTTTCTGGACTGAACCAAAGTACATGTTACACATTTTGATTGATGTCTCATGTCTCCCTAAAATGTGTGAAACCAAGCTGTACTACTACCACCTTGGCCACATGTCGTCAGGACCTCCTGAGGCTGTGTCACAAGTGTGCATCCTTGACCTTGGCAAAACAAACTTTTTAAATTAACTGAGAACTGTCTCATATTTGGGGGGTTTGCATCACTTAGGGTCAAATCATCCACCGATTCCCACTAAAATTTAATGGAGAATCTAATTTACATCTGAGGTTCAAATGGGCTCTCAGTAATCTTCATAGGATTTTATGGTAGGTTACTAACCTACATTGTTACAAGGTAGAGACTTCGATGTTTTCCTTTAAGAACAGAGCCTGCTTAGCCTGAGTAACCTTTCACCCTCGAGGAAGTAAGAATGTGTACTTCCTAGGGGCAAGCTCTCTCCAAAGAGAGCCAAAAAAGGGGTAGAGCTATGTGCACTCATACTTCTTCTTTAACAATCTCTTTAGTTAAATAATTCATGATTTCTTCCTATGGAAAAAGTAAGAGAGGTGGTGTAGGGAATAACAGAGGCTTTTTCTCAATACTTCCTATTTTGCAGGATACAAAGGAATTTGGATACAGGAAGGAAATTGTTCCCTTCTATAATATACAACCCCATGTATTAATATATTAATAAATGTACTAAAACGATAAACAGAGCTTACAGGCAGACATGATGAAATCCTCTAATTCTTTGCTACCTACTGAAACTTTTGGCTATGACTCAAGCCTGGCACATAATAAAGAGGTGGTAGAAACCATTGTGTCATGCTGCCTTTTGCTTTCAAGCTGATACTTACTTATCAAATTTTCCCTGATAATCATTGTCATCATGGTACTGTACCTTCAGTAATGTTGTAGGCATAGTCATGCTTAGTGTTCAGGGGCAAAGCAGACAGCACAGGTGTCTAAAAATATTGAGTGCTAGTATATGGTGCAAGGTGAGGAGACTGTGGTTTCAGGGACACATAGCAAGGCCAGTCCAGCAGGCAGAGTGGCATTCTGAAGGTATAGCAGTGGTGAGCCCTCCAGTACTGCCTCTCCAATGCACCGTCACAGCCTCCTGTACTTTCCTCATTTATTCATTCATTCACCTTGTATGTGCCAGACATTATTCTAGGTTTGGGGAATGGATCAGTGAACTACCTAAACAATAACAAAGTCTCTGCCCTTATAGTGTTACCTCTCTGTCTTACAACTCTCCACTAGTTGTTAAGCTCATTTAGGGTAGAAATTGTGTTTCACTCATTGGTGAATCTCTACTGCTAGCACTGTGCCTAGGACTGCACTCAATACATGTTAAATTAAGGTTGAACTCACTAATATTGATTAATGATATGTTCTGACACATGGACAAAGCAAGTAAAAGGGATTCAAGTGGCGTTCTCTTTACATGTGAACCATGATATCTATGGTTTCCTATTGTATTTATTTGTTTCATGTTGTCAAAATGTGAATAACATTGAGATATCCAAGGAGGGAGGTAGGTAATTGACATTTAAAAAAGTCTGTCAAGGCTGGGCACGGTGGCTCACGCCTGTAATTCCAGCACTTTGGGCGGCCAAGGTGGGTGGATCATGAGGTCAGGAGTTCAAGACCAGCCTGGCCAACATGATGAAACCCCATCTCTACTAAAAATACAAAAATTAGCTGGGCATGGTGGCACATGCCTGTAATCCCAGCCACTTGGGAGGCACAGGCAGAATTGCTTGAACCTGGGAGGCGGAGGTTGCAGTGAGCTGAGATGGTGCCACTGAACTCCAGCCTGGGGGACAGGGCAATACTCTGTCTCAAAAAAAAAAAAAATTCTGTCAATAGGAGTGAATCTATTTATACACGGCACAAACTGGGGGACATGTCCATCTGCCCATAAATGGATACACACAGGTTTAGAATGGCATAATAGAGGAGGAGGCTCTTGAATTAAATCTTGCAAGCTAAGAAAATATTTCTAAAATTAAACACAAAATAAAAGACAATCATTTTATGTTAGCACTAGATGGCAGGGGAAGGCAGAGACCCACCACACTGCCTTCTTTAGATGGAGATCTCTGGGTAACTTAGAGAGGCACAGACTATGTCTGTGTGTTTGGGGTTCTTTGTGTATGTGGTTGACTTTTGTTTGATTTAGTCTTCAGAAAAAGGTGATCATAGTTTCTTTTGCTGATATATATATCTGTTACCCCCTAATGGCATCCCTGAAGTTACAGTAATACCTATGTCAAAGAGAAGGCATTTGAGACAGAGGGGAAAATCAGCAGACCTTGCTAACCAGATCCCTTCCTTCCCCCACCCCTGAGAATGGATGTTTCCTGGCAATGGAGAAACTGGGCATCGTGCCACCATGGAGGTGCCTGGACTGTTTGTAACAAACAGTTTCATTAGATTACCCACAATTTCTCGAGAGGTAATTCCATTAGACAGTGTTTATCAGTCATCATATGCTCTGCTTGTCATGACTCCCCTGTTCAGTAGCAGTAACACCCCCAGAACAATACTGTGTGTGTGTGTGTGTGTGTGTGTGTGTGTGTGTAAAAACAAAACTGTCTGGGATGCCTTACAGAAGAGGTATCTTCTGTGTAGTAATGAACATAAAATAGAAAGAGACTGAGTAGGCAGCATTAAAATGTAGGTACCCCACAAATAAACATATTATTGTGCTTTTAATTCAGGAATGAGATCTGCAGCAATAACCAGAAAGCACCTGAAAACATCAGACGTGGATTATTTAGGCTGTTTAGGTGACCTAAATTATGCAGTATCTTGTAAGTCTTCTGAGGGAAATTTTTTTTTATACTATTTGATTATTTTCTCTGGAATGATTAATTTCCTGGTACACTGGAATATTTATTTCTCCTGCTTTCTTTCCCTCTATCCTTGGCTCACATCTACAGGTATAAGGCTCATGTGGAACAAACCTATCACGTGCTCTCAGACTTGAGTGGACAATGTTTCTCTGTCTGATGTTTCTGGTCAAGATTTTGGAAGAGGTCTGTGCCCTCTAGTTCATACCTCCTATATATTATCTTTTAAAAATTTTCTTCTTTATATATGTAACTCTTTCTTCCTAATGTCACTCATCACTAGACTATATTTTTGTATGATTTAAATCTAATAACAATTTTTTCTTTTACATCTTTACTTAAATCATAGCTACTTTATTATCTTTTTCTCTATTTAGAGATATGAGTTCCTTAAAAATCATAATAATTAAAGATTCCTTTCTAGCGGTTAATTTTTAAGCATGTTAGGGTTTCAAGAGATGGGGGCATCTTGGTCACTTTTTGTTGTTGGTATTAAAAGCTTTTAGTGATATGAACCACCTTATCAAAACAATTTCCTATTACTAACATTCACTTATCCTCAGGTCTAGCTATTCTATTTTACTACCTACTATTCCCAGTCTCCTAGTTGCTTTTTACTGCTTCAACTTTTCCTTATGCTGGTCCTTCCTCCTGCAATAACCTTCCCCTTTTCTCTACAAAATCCAAAACTTTTCATCGTTTAGGACATCTCAGATTTTCATCTGTCCAAAACCTTGTTTGATCTATTCCTCTGAAAGCTCACAGAATTTAATCTGTACCTTACTGATAGGATTGATCAGTAATCTATTACCTACCATAAGCTACTTGAGGGTGGAACCAGTGCCAGATTTAACTTGGTATTTTTTCACAATGCTTAATGTTTAGTAGGTCCACAACAATCAATGTCACTTTTGTACGATTATTTCATCAACCTATCCCCTTTAAAAATATCTCATGAATTCTTCAGTCTTTGAGTGTTCTCTGTATATTACGCTATAAGCATCATATTCCTGGCTCATCTTGTTGGTAAAACAGTGTATTTTTTTTTAATATCCCCATTTAAACTGACTAGGGCCTGCCCTCAGTTTCCTAAATTTCTATTAAAAAGGGAAACTCGCTTATGCTATTCCCTTCTTCCAAAAATTTGCCCTTCCTCTTACCCATTATCTGCCTGCTTTTGTTCATTCTCCAGTGCCTCCAGGAAGTTTTTTGGAAAACTTTTATTTCAGGTTCAAGGTTACATGTGAAGGTTAGTTACATAGGTAAATTCATTTCGTGGGGGTTTGTTGCACAGATTATTTAATCATGCGAGAATTAATCCCAGTACCTAATAGTTATTTTTTTGCTCCTCTCCCTCCTCCCATCTCCAGGCCCTCCCACAAACCCCAATGTGTTGCTCCCCACTATGTGTCCTTGTGTTCTCATCATTTAGCTCTCACATATATCTGAGAACATGTGGTATTTGGTTTTCTGTTTCTGCGTTAGTTTGCTGAGGATAATAGCCTCCAGCTCCATCCATGTTCCCACAAAAGGCATGATCTCATTCCTTTTTATGGATACTGAAATTATATTTTGCCCAGAATTTATAGTTGTTATTGGCAGGAGGTTTGGTTTGTTAGGATCTATTCGGCTATTTCCAGAAGCTGAAACCCATCACATTATTTTTTAAAGCAATCACTACTTCATTGTTCCTTATATTAGGTGTAACTACTTTGAGACAAACAATATTTATGCAATTAAGTAAGTCCTGATACTTTATAAAATCTATATTGCTCTTTTATGGCCAGCTGCCTTTAATATTAATACACATAATGGATTGTTAATTTCAATTGAGATTTGCCAGATTTTTGACTTTCTTTTAGGGTCTATAGAAAATGTCCTAAATGACTTTGGCTCAATTCTTCTGTAATGTACAACAGATAAAATTAATAAATTCTGTAATATAATCTTTCATTATCATCTCTGTCATTTTTGGCCTAAATTGTCCTTTACCAATAGACCGCACCCAAATTTATTTCATCTTTTGTTCTAACATACCTTCTACTTTTCTAATGTAAGCATTTAAGTCTACAAATTTCTAAGTAACATATTATTTGCATTTCATAAATTTCAATATCATATCTTCATTTTTGTCTAATTCTTGTACATTTACAATTTATTTATAATTTCTTAATTCATAAGCTACTTAAAAGTGTGATTTTGAATTCCAACATAGAATTTAAGAATTTTAAAATTAACTTTTAAGATATTTGTGATGTATGAGCAAACAGTTTGTATGATGCAAATTCTTTGATACTTGCTTTATGCCACAATTTTTATAAATATTCAGGTGCACTGAGAAATACGTGTATTCTTTAATCACGTAAATAAGAACTTATGTCCAATAATTCAAACTTATTGTGTTTTTCAAATATTCAGTATCTTCACTATTTTTTGGTTGTTTATTCAATTGAGAGAGTTGTATTGGAACTTTCCATTTTAATGATGGATTTGTCCATTCTTCCTTCATCAAAATTTATTTGCATAATTTGAGATTTATTATATGAATTGGGTTAATGTTATCATATCTTCTTAGAGAATTGAACCATCTACTTTTATGTAGTAATTTGTTCAACTCATAAAAGCATTTTTAAAATCTTTTTTGTCTGTTAATATTATATTATTGTGCTTTTTGTTTAGAGTTGTCTGGTGTCTTTTTCCATGTTTACATTTTCAATTATTTTTGTTCTTATGTTCTTGGTACTTCTCTTAAACAGCATAAAGTGTTTTTTTTTTTTAATTTAAATTCTGCAGTCTGGTTCTTTTATATGACATCTGTAGTTCATTTGTATTTATTATGAGTATTCACTTATTTTAATTTATTCCCAGCATCTTTCTTTTTATTTTCTGGCCTTTGTTTTTTTACCATTGATTGAGTTTTGTTGTGATTATTGTTTGTTTTTCTGTCCTTTTTTTCTCCATTCTACTAGTGTGAAAATTATACAGCCTATTACTGCTTTTTCGTGGTTAACCTTAAAATGTTTCTGTGCATGCTTTACTTAACAAACTCAGGAGTTAGTACTTTAGCTCCTCCCCCAAGTAATCCAAGGGCCTTAAAACACTTTATTACTATCCCGATATATATGTTATTTTGCGTTTGAGATTTATTTACAAGCTTATAAATTATTTGCTTATCATGCTTTCTTAGATCTTAAAAGTTCTTCCTGGGATAATTTCCTTTTCTAGTAAAATACATATGTTAGATATCCTTTAACATAAGAATGTTGCATAAAAATACTTTAAAAAATCATGTGCTGTATTTATTTGTCCCTTATTCTTAAAAATTATGATTTTCTGGGTGCAAAAGTAGGACTTGATAGCCATTTTCCCTCAGCAATTTGAATATATTGTTATTTTTAGTTTCTATTGTTGGTATTAAGAAGCATGGTATCAGCCTATTTGTCTTTTCTTTCTAGGTAAACTGTCTTTTATTTCTCACTCTTTTTATATCTTCTCTATGTTTTCATTTTCATTTTCTGCAGTTTCAGTACAATTTGTTTTGTTTTGTTTTGTTGTTTTTGAGACAGAGTCTCACTCTGTCGCCCAGGCTGGAGTGCAGTGGCGCTATCTCGGCTCACTGCAAGCTCTGCCTCCCGGGTTCACGTCATTCTCCTGCCTCAGCCTCCCAAGTAGCTGGGACTACAGGCGCCCGCCACCATGCCCGGCTAATTTTTTGTATTTTTAGTAGAGACAGGGTTTCACCGTGTCAGCCAGGATGGTCTCGATCTCCTGACCTCATGATCTGCCTGCCTCGGCCTCCCAAAGTGCTGGAATTACAGGCGGGAGCCACCACGCCTGGCCAGTACAATATTTTTAGATGTGGATTTCCTTTTATTTATTCATCATAGTAAGTGGGGTTCATGTATCATTAATTCATGCCCTTTGTCAGTTCTAGAAAGCCATAAGCCATTAAAGCCACACATTGTGTCTTTATTTTCTCTATTCTTTCCTTCTAGACCTGCAGTTAGCTTCATGTTAGACCTTTTCATTCTGTCTTCCATATATCTTAATCTCTCTTTATTAGCTTCCATACCCTATTTTGCATTTTTCAGTTCAATTGCTTCTAACTATCTCTTCAGCTGTAGATAATGTGCTTTTCAACCCCAACCATTACACTTTAAAAAAATAATGATTATATACTGTTGATATGGTTTGGATCTGTGTTCCTACCCAAATCTCATGTTGAATTGTAATCCCCAGTGTTGGAGGTGGGGCCTGGTGGGAGATGATTGGCTCATAGAGGTGGTGTTCTCATGAATGGGTTAGCACCATCCCCTAGGTGCTGTTCTTGTGATAGTGAGTTATCCTGAGATCTGGTTGTTTAAAAGTGTGTAGCACCTCTCCCCTCACTTCCTTGCTCCTGCCCACACCACGTGAGACGTCTTGCTATCGCTTCACCTTCTGCCATGATTGTTAATTTTCTGAGGCCTCCCCAGGAGCCAAGCAGAAGCCACTATGCTTCCTATACAGCCTGCAGAACCAGGAACTGAATTAAACCTGTTTTCTTTATAAATTGCCTAGTCTCAGTTATTTCATTATAGCAATAAGAGAACAGACTAATACAATTGTTCTAGCTATTAATTTTTAAATCTACCTAATTATGTGGGATAATCCCTATTGCATACTCATCATTTTTAGTCCATTGTTTATTTTTAAAAATATATCATACATACTTATTAAACATTATATGCCTAAGATCTACATTTGACGATCGCTGTGTTATTAGCTATTACCCTTCTATAATGTTTTCATATGTACTTGCTATTCTTTGATTTTGAGTCCAGTCTTAGTTGATTTTAATCTGTGCTAAACAATAGGAGCTAAAATTAATTATTGCTTCATTTAGAGATTTAATGTTTGCTTCATTTAACAACAACAGGAATCTTCTGTCTTTGAACTTCTTTGATCCTTTCCATTGATTTTCCTGATGACTCAGATTCAGCTCCAACAACTTGCTGCTATCTCAAAGATTAGTCTTTCAATAACTGGCAGTTGCACTGATGACCACTTTGCATTATGCATATATTTAACACTTATGACTGTTACTTTAATATTTTTGATACTGTTTTTGCTTGGGAATTTCCTTTATCTTCTGCAAACCTGTAATGTATAAAAATTATAGTTAGTGGAAGACTTGTTATTTTGTAGTGGGAGAGCCCTTCAGAGTATTTAGTCCACCACACTGACCTAGCCTCTTACTCTTTTTTCATATTTTTTATTTCTTATGTTATTTTTTACATATAGAATACATACTTACTTTATTGTCTAAATTTGATATTTTCAAGTTACAATTTTTTCTGTTCTGATTTTGTTGTCTTTTGTTTTTGGTGGCTCACCCTCATAGTATCTTATTTCTTGACAGTTAGATGATTTTAGACTATAGTAATATTTCTTAAAACACTTTATTCCTAATAATTCTTTGAGATCTGTGAAGGAAGTATGTTCCTCAAAGAAGATTTGTGTTTGCTTATTTCAGGCACCTGAAGACACTACAAATATGAGCTCACTTATAATTAAATTCTTAGCTTAAGATTTTTCACATTATCCATATTGTGATATCAGCCTATAAAGACCAGTTTGAGGTCTCAAATTATCAAGAGAAATTTTTATCCCCATCTACTCAGTGCAAAAGTTCAAGGGAATCAGTTTTCCTTTTAAGACCCTGAGGGTAATCTCTAGTTTTCCTTTCCCTGGAAACCCTAGTTTACATGAGAATCCCTGATTAAATGACGTGGCCTTCTATTACATTATAGATTGACCCCAAGCCTTGTCTTCCAATGTCTGTGTCCATGAAAAACAAAGTTCATGGACAAAGCTCAGGTTCTGTGGCTCAGCTTAGCTGATTTCACTTTGCTTTTGGTTATTTCTGAGTTTTCCTACTTTCTAGTTCACTGATACATGACAAATTTTAAAACGTATTTCTTCAGCATTTTTAGTTCTTTACAGTGGGAGTGTCCATTAGGGTATCCAGTTGCCAGACTTCCAGAAACAGAAGTCAACCTATTCATTCAGAAAATTAGATATTTTTCCTAAATAGATTGAGCCAATATATTTAGTTTAATTTTCCTACTTGGTTGGCCAAGCAGTTAAAAAGTATCCAATCCATTTTCAACTGACAATAGGGCAAATGCTAAATAAATAAATAATTATGTGGACTCAGTTTTGATTATCTTAAAACAATGTAGAGCTATCATTACATGTGACAAGATTTGGAGTCTGCTTTGCAAAGCTTATTTCATAAATAAAAATGACATTGTGTAAGAGGCAAGCTTAAAGTGTCAAGTCATTAAAATATGAGGACATAGGGAGAAGGCTATGTAACTTTCAGAGTTTTTTGTACACTTGAACTTGGTGTTTAACAATCATAGGGGTTGAGGACATTGTTCTTTGCTGAAGTTGTGGGAAGGATGAATTGTGTACACACAGATATAGCGTATGTGTGTGCATGTGTGTGTTCATTATGTATATATAGTGTGTAGCATTTTATTCTTCTTAAAGATCAATTTGTTGGGGTTCTATTATGTGAAGTTTTGGCACTATGAAGGGTGAATCCATAGTGGTCCTGCTCAAGAGATACTGACACATTTTTTAGGAAACATAAGATATACGCTCTTCCCCAAGTTCCCACCTTCACACCTGCAGTATCCTTACCCACGTGCTCAACCTTCTCATTTTCCCACAGATGAACTGTCTATCCTCCACCCAGAGGTTGACACTTCTGCCAACTGTCTACTCACACTCTCTTTTTAAGAACATTTCCCTATAAGTTCTCTGTTGTTTCTCCTGCATCATCAGTTTTTCTTCTTTAACTGGTTCATTCTAATTAGTTGGCATAAATGCTGTTATTTTTGTCCCCATTTTTCTCTATACCCCATTTTTTAGATCCCTATTAGCTAGTCTCACTTTTCAGATCCCTATTCACAGGAATACTTCTTAAAAGAGTTCTCTAAGCTTTCTGTCTGCAATTTTCCTCCTCCTACTCTCTCTGAAGTTCATTTCATTGAAATTTCTGCACCCATCATTTCAACAAAATTACCCTCTTAAGGTAAAAGATCATCTCCATGTTGCAGAACCAATGATTGGTTTTCAGCCTTCTTACTTAAGTAGTCTTAAGCAATTGAACAGTAATTAATTCCCTCCATCTTGAAGCATTTTCTCCACTTTGCTTCTAATGCAACACACTGTCCATTTCTTCTGTAGCATCAACTGCTTTTGCTGGTTCCTTTGCTGGTCTCTCTTTGGAATGTCCTAAGTTTCAGCCCTTCCTTCCTTCACATATCCTTAGGGATCTCACTGAATATCATATATTTAAATATCATCCAGATGCTGATGACTCCCAAATTTAAAGCTACAATCTTGTCTTCTCATCTCAACCCCAGACTGCTTTATCTAACTGCTGCCACAACTTCTCCACTAGATGTTTACTTGTCATAGTTAGCTTGGCATGCCTCATACTACTCTTGCTTGTTAAACCCCTTCCAACCAAGTCTTCTCAAACTGAGTAAATTACAATTCCATTCTTAGTGACCTTGTTTTTCTAGTTGTTTAGAGGGAACAAATAAAGCCAACTTGGAGTCATTAAACTTCTCTCTTTTCCTCACAAGATACATCTACCATATCACAAAATCATGTTTTAAAATGTGTCTAGTTTTTACCATCTCTTTTACTACCACCCAGATCCAAGCTACCATCAATTTCTCACCTGCATTGTTGCAATAATATTTTACGTGGTCTTCCTACCTGTACCTAAAATCCATTCTCTCAACACAGAGCCAAGATGATTTGTCTAAACATAAGTCAGATCATGGCACTTCTGTGCTCTGAACCCTCCAATGGCTTACCATTTCACTCAGAGAAAAAGAAAAATGAAGTCCTCACAGCAGTCTATAAGGCTTTGCATGATTTTTCTTCCATTAGCTCCCTAACTTCATCCCCTCTCTCCTCCATGTGCATCTTTTCTAGCCTTACTGGCTTCTTTGCTTCATAGAGCACACAGAATCTTCCTTCAATTCCTAGTCTCTGTACTTGCTGCTTTATCTTTCCAGGACATAGTTCCACAGATCTCCCCTGTTATTAACTCCCTTGCCTTTAGGTCTTTGTTCAAAGTGTTCTTTTTTTTTTTTTTTTTTTTTTTTAATTTTTTTTTTTTTTATTATACTCTAAGTTTTAGGGTACATGTGCACATTGTGCAGGTTAGTTACATATGTATACATGTGCCATGCTGGTGCGCTGCACCCACTAACGTGTCATCTAGCATTAGGTATATCTCCCAATGCTATCCCTCCCCCCTCCCCCGACCCCACCACAGTCCCCAGAGTGTGATATTCCCCTTCCTGTGTCCATGTGATCTCATTGTTCAATTCCCACCTATGAGTGAGAATATGCGGTGTTTCGTTTTTTGTTCTTGCCATAGTTTACTGAGAATGATGGTTTCCAATTTCATCCATGTCCCTACAAAGGACATGAACTCATCATTTTTTATGGCTGCATAGTATTCCATGGTGTATATGTGCCACATTTTCTTAATCCAGTCTATCATTGTTGGACATTTGGGTTGGTTCCAAGTCTTTGCTATTGTGAATAGTGCCGCAATAAACATACGTGTGCATGTGTCTTTATAGCAGCATGATTTATATTCCTTTGGGTATATACCCAGTAATGGGATGGCTGGGTCAAATAGTATTTCTAGTTCTAGATCCCTGAGGAATCGCCACACTGACTTCCACAATGGTTGAACTAGTTTACAGTCCCACCAACAGTGTAAAAGTGTTCCTATTTCTCCACATCCTCTCCAGCACCTGTTGTTCCCTGACTTTTTAATGATTGCCATTCTAACTGGTGTGAGATGATATCTCATAGTGGTTTTGATTTGCATTTCTCTGATGGCCAGTGATGATGAGCATTTCTTCATGTGTTTTTTGGCTGCATAAATGTCTTCTTTTGAGAAGTGTCTGTTCATGTCCTTCGCCCACTTTTTGATGGGGTTGTTTTTTTCTTGTAAATTTGTTTGAGTTCATTGTAGATTCTGGATATTAGCCCTTTGTCAGATGAGTAGGTTGCGAAAATTTTCTCCCATGTTGTAGGTTGCCTGTTCACTCTGATGGTAGTTTCTTTTGCTGTGCAGAAGCTCTTTAGTTTAATTAGATCCCATTTGTCAATTTTGGCTTTTGTTGCCATTGCTTTTGGTGTTTTGGACATGAAGTCCTTGCCCACGCCTATGTCCTGAATGGTAATGCCTAGGTTTTCTTCTAGGGTTTTTATGGTTTTAGGTCTAACGTTTAAATCTTTAATCCATCTTGAATTGATTTTTGTATAAGGTGTAAGGAAGGGATCCAGTTTCAGCTTTCTACATATGGCTAGCCAGTTTTCCCAGCACCATTTGTTAAATAGGGAATCCTTTCCCCATTGCTTGTTTTTCTCAGGTTTGTCAAAGATCAGATAGTTGTAGATATGCGGCATTATTTCTGAGGGCTCTGTTCTGTTCCATTGATCTATATCTCTGTTTTGGTACCAGTACCATGCTGTTTTGGTTACTGTAGCCTTGTAGTATAGTTTGAAGTCAGGTAGTGTGATGCCTCCAGCTTTGTTCTTTTGGCTTAGGATTGACTTGGCGATGCGGGCTCTTTTTTGGTTCCATATGAACTTTAAAGTAGTTTTTTCCAATTCTGTGAAGAAAGTCATTGGTAGCTTGATGGGGATGGCATTGAATCTGTAAATTACCTTGGGCAGTATGGCCATTTTCACGATATTGATTCTTCCTACCCATGAGCATGGAATGTTCTTCCATTTGTTTGTGTCCTCTTTTATTTCCTTGAGCAGTGGTTTGTAGTTCTCCTTGAAGAGGTCCTTCACATCCCTTGTAAGTTGGATTCCTAGGTATTTTATTCTCTTTGAAGCAATTGTGAATGGGAGTTCACTCATGATTTGGCTCTCTGTTTGTCTGTTGTTGGTGTATAAGAATGCTTGTGATTTTTGTACATTGATTTTGTATCCTGAGACTTTGCTGAAGTTGCTTATCAGCTTAAGGAGATTTTGGGCTGAGACGATGGGGTTTTCTAGATAAACAATCATGTCGTCTGCAAACAGGGACAATTTGACTTCCTCTTTTCCTAATTGAATACCCTTTATTTCCTTCTCCTGCCTGATTGCCCTGGCCAGAACTTCCAACACTATGTTGAATAGGAGCGGTGAGAGAGGGCATCCCTGTCTTGTGCCAGTTTTCAAAGGGAATGCTTCCAGTTTTTGCCCATTCAGTATGATATTGGCTGTGGGTTTGTCATAGATAGCTCTTATTATTTTGAAATACGTCCCATCAATACCTAATTTATTGAGAGTTTTTAGCATGAAGGGTTGTTGAATTTTGTCAAAGGCTTTTTCTGCATCTATTGAGATAATCATGTGGTTTTTGTCTTTGGCTCTGTTTATATGCTGGATTACATTTATTGATTTGCGTATATTGAACCAGCCTTGCATCCCAGGGATGAAGCCCACTTGATCATGGTGGATAAGCTTTTGGATGTGCTGCTGGATTCGGTTTGCCAGTATTTTATTGAGGATTTTTGCATCAATGTTCATCAAGGATATTGGTCTAAAATTCTCTTTTTTGGTTGTGTCTCTGCCCGGCTTTGGTATCAGAATGATGCTGTTCTCATAAAATGAGTTAGGGAGGATTCCCTCTTTTTCTATTGATTGGAATAGTTTCAGAAGGAATGGTACCAGTTCCTCCTTGTACCTCTGGTAGAATTCGGCTGTGAATCCATCTGGTCCTGGACTCTTTTTGGTTGGTAAACTATTGATTATTGCCACAATTTCAGAGCCTGTTATTGGTCTATTCAGAGATTCAACTTCTTCCTGGTTTAGTCTTGGGAGAGTGTATGTGTCTAGGAATTTATCCATTTCTTCTAGATTTTCTAGCTTATTTGCGTAGAGGTGTTTGTAGTATTCTCTGATGGTAGTTTGTATTTCTGTGGGATCAGTGGTGATATCCCCTTTATCATTTTTTATTGTGTCTATTTGATTCTTCTCTCTTTTTTTCTTTATTAGTCTTGCTAGCGGTCTATCAATTTCGTTGATCCTTTCAAAAAACCAGCTCCTGGATTCATTGATTTTTTGAAGGGTTTTTTGTGTCTCTATTTCCTTCAGTTCTGCTCTGATTTTAGTTATTTCTTGCCTTCTGCTAGCTTTTGCATGTGTTTGCTCTTGCTTTTCTAGTTCTTTTAATTGTGATGTTAGGGTGTCAATTTTGGATCTTTCCTGCTTTCTCTTGTGGGCATTTAGTGCTATAAATTTCCCTCTACACACTGCTTTGAATGCGTCCCAGAGATTCTGGTATGTGGTGTCTTTGTTCTCGTTGGTTTCAAAGAACATCTTTATTTCTGCCTTCATTTCGTCATGTACGCAGTAGTCATTCAGGAGCAGGTTGTTCAGTTTCCATGTAGTTGAGCGGCTTTGAGTGAGATTCTTAATCCTGAGTTCTAGTTTGATTGCACTGTGGTCTGAGAGATAGTTTGTTATAATTTCTGTTCTTTTACATTTGCTGAGGAGAGCTTTACTTCCAACTATGTGGTCAATTTTGGAATAGGTGTGGTGTGGTGCTGAAAAAAATGTATATTCTGTTGATTTGGGGTGGAGAGTTCTGTAGATGTCTATTAGGTCTGCTTGGTGCAGAGCTGAGTTCAATTCCTGGGTATCCTTGTTGACTTTCTGTCTCATTGATCTGTCTAATGTTGACAGTGGGGTGTTAAAGTCTCCCATTATTAATGTGTGGGAGTCTAAGTCTCTTTGTAGGTCACTCAGGACTTGCTTTATGAATCTCGGTGCTCCTGTATTGGGTGCATAAATATTTAGGATAGTTAGCTCCTCTTGTTGAATTGATCCCTTTACCATTCTGTAATGGCCTTCTTTGTCTCTTTTGATCTTTGTTGGTTTAAAGTCTGTTTTATCAGAGACTAGGATTGCAACCCCTGCCTTTTTTTGTTTTCCATTCGCTTGGTAGATCTTCCTCCATCCTTTTATTTTGAGCCTATGTGTGTCTCTGCACGTGAGATGGGTTTCCTGAATACAGCACACTGATGGGTCTTGACTCTTTATCCAACTTGCCAGTCTGTGTCTTTTAATTGGAGAATTTAGTCCATTTATATTTAAAGTTAGTATTGTTATGTGTGAATTTGATCCTGTCATTATGATGTTAGCTGGTGATTTTGCCCATTAGTTGATGCAGTTTCTTCCTAGTCTCGATGGTCTTTACATTTTGGCATGATTTTGCAGCGGCTGGTACCGGTTGTTCCTTTCCATGTTTAGCGCTTCCTTCAGGAGCTCTTTTAGGGCAGGCCTGGTGGTGACAAAATCTCTCAGCATTCGCTTGTCTATAAAGTATTTTATTTCTCCTTCACTTATGAAGCTTAGTTTGGCTGGATATGAAATTCTGGGTTGAAAATTCTTTTCTTTAAGAATGTTGAATATTGGCCCCCACTCTCTTCTGGCTTGTAGGGTTTCTGCCGAGAGATCTGCTGTTAGTCTGATGGGCTTTCCTTTGAGGGTAACCCGACCTTTCTCTCTGGCTGCCCTTAACATTTTTTCCTTCATTTCAACTTTGGTGAATCTGACAATTATGTGTCTTGGAGTTGCTCTTCTCGAGGAGTATCTTTGTGGCGTTCTCTGTATTTCCTGAATCTGAATGTTGGCCTGCCTTGCTAGATTGGGGAAGTTCTCCTGGATAATATCCTGCAGAGTGTTTTCCAACTTGGTTCCATTCTCCACATCACTTTCAGGTACACCAATCAGACGTAGATTTGGTCTTTTCACATAGTCCCATATTTCTTGGAGGCTTTGCTCATTTCTTTTTATTCTTTTTTCTCTAAACTTCCCTTCTCGCTTCATTTCATTCATTTCATCTTCCATTGCTGATACCCTTTCTTCCAGTTGATCGCATCGGCTCCTGAGGCTTCTGCATTCTTCACGTAGTTCTCGAGCCTTGGTTTTCAGCTCCATCAGCTCCTTTAAGCACTTCTCTGTATTGGTTATTCTAGTTATACATTCTTCTAAATTTTTTTCAAAGTTTTCAACTTCTTTGCCTTTGGTTTGAATGTCCTCCCGTAGCTCAGAGTAATTTGATCGTCTGAAGCCTTCTTCTCTCAGCTCGTCAAAATCATTCTCCATCCAGCTTTGTTCTGTTGCTGGTGAGGAACTGCGTTCCTTTGGAGGAGGAGAGGGGCTCTGCGTTTTAGAGTTTCCAGTTTTTCTGTTCTGTTTTTTCCCCATCTTTGTGGTTTTATCTACTTTTGGTCTTTGATGATGGTGATGTACAGATGGGTTTTCAGTGTAGATGTCCTTTCTGGTTGTTAGTTTTCCTTCTAACAGACAGGACCCTCAGCTGCAGGTCTGTTGGAATACCCTGCCGTGTGAGGTGTCAGTGTGCCCCTGCTGGGGGGTGCCTCCCAGTTAGGCTGCTCGGGGGTCAGGGGTCAGGGACCCACTTGAGGAGGCAGTCTGCCCGTTCTCAGATCTCCAGCTGCGTGCTGGGAGAACCACTGCTCTCTTCAAAGCTGTCAGACAGGGACACTTAAGTCTGCAGACGTTACTGCTGTCTTTTTGTTTGTCTGTGCCCTGCCCCCAGAGGTGGAGCCTACAGAGGCAGGCAGGCCTCCTTGAGCTGTGGTGGGCTCCACCCAGTTCGAGCTTCCCGGCTGCTTTGTTTACCTAAGCAAGCCTACGCAATGGCGGGCGCCCCTCCCCCAGCCTCGTTGCCGCCTTGCAGTTTGATCTCAGACTGCTGTGCTAGCAATCAGCGAGATTCTGTGGGCGTAGGACCCTCTGAGCCAGGTGTGGGATATAGTCTCGTGGTGCGCCGTTTCTTAAGCCGGTCTGAAAAGCGCAATATTCGGGTGGGAGTGACCCGATTTTCCAGGTGCGTCGGTCACCCCTTTCTTTGACTCGGAAAGGGAACTCCCTGACCCCTTGCGCTTCCCAGGTGAGGCAATGCCTCGCCCTGCTTCGGCTCGCGCATGGTGCGCACACACACTGGCCTGTGCCCACTGTCTGGCACTCCCTAGTGAGATGAACCCGGTACCTCAGATGGAAATGCAGAAATCACCCGTCTTCTGCGTCGCTCAGGCTGGGAGCTGTAGACCGGAGCTGTTCCTATTCGGCCATCTTGGCTCCTCCCCCAAAGTGTTCTTTCTTAATGAGGTATTCTTTAGTTGTCCTATTTAAAACAGTGACCCATACTCTCTTTCCCTCTTCCTGAACTCATTTATCTCCTTAGAATTATATTTTCTATAATTTACTAATTTATTTTGTATATTGGCCATCTCTTGTCACCAAAATATAGGCTTTGTGAGAGCACGGATTTTTATCTGTTTTGCTCACTACTGGATCTTTAATACATAGACCAATCTATGGCATATAGAAATCACTCTAGAAGTATTTGTTGAGTAAATGAATAAATGGTCCTCAAATTCCCACTGACTCTTCAATCTGATATCCCTTTCATTCAGCACTCTCCAATGTCCACTTAGCTTATAACTTAGGCTTTTTTACATAAATTTTAGTTAGAATAATACTGACAAATCTTTCTTATCTCAGGTTACTTCCTCTAAGTAGTTTTCCCTGTCCCTCCAATCTAAATTAGGGAAGTCTGTTATTCTATAGAACCCTGTTTTTTCCTTCATAGCACTTGTGCATAAGACATCTCTATTTCTTTAGTTTCCATAAGCTTAGGCTCTCTGGCTTGTGTTATAAACTCTATGCTTTATGTTGACCAGAGTATGTCTCTTCATATTTAAAGGAAGCTTTTAGAATTCAATAACATTTCTCTTTCTCAAGAGCCTGGCTAAAAAAGCTATCACTTTTAAGACTTTATGTCTCTTTCAGACATTTCAATTGACTTTTTCATTTGATCTATATCTGTTTTGTCCTTGTGTAAACTATATAGAAAATTATGAATGGTGGGAAAAAATAATGGCAATAAGGAAGATAATTATCTTGCTACACAAAGAACGTGTGAGATATGCCAGGGACAACATTAGGTGACAGCACCAACAAGGAGTGAGGGTGATCTACTGGGACATCAACTCTAAAAGAAGATGAAATTTTGAGAGGGTGAGATTAGCATTGAGGAGCTAGGAGAATAATCATGTGACTAATGAATTGTATGGTATAAGGTGAAGGAACTGTCATCATGGAAGAGGGGAGGAATGGGTTCCAGAAGTGCCCCATTAAGAACCACAGAAAGTGTAAGAAATTTGTTAGTATTTTGGAATGTATGGTATCAAAATATTGGGGCATGTAGTTAGCAGAGGAAAAATGAGCCAATGAGGAGAAGGCACAAATAACCTGGAGTAAAGTTCTGGGGAGTATAGACCTGAGTATTTTGTGCTGTGATCATAACTGGAACAAGTGTGAGGCAGGGTGAGATTGCCCTTCAGCTTCCCAGGCAATGCCAGGGTCCAGTTTGAGTGTTGGGATGGATGAAAAAAATTAATTCAAGAATCTTGGTTTCTGGATAACAAAGTTGAAATGTAGTAAGGACATTAGAGAACATGGGTGCAGATACGAAAGCAGGAACAATGAAAAGAATTTAGCTAAGAAACATACGGTTTAACTGTTTTCAGTTTTACCAGGCTTAAGGCATCCTATTTATAACAAATATATTTAATGCTCTCTTTATTATCCTTAAATGAAATTTAGGTAATATAAATTAATTTTGTGTATTCTTATAAAATCAATATGTTACCTTAACAGATATAATAAATATAAAGAAGTATTAACAAAGTAAATTATAGAAAAACAATATGTTTCAATGTCTATACTTTTTTGAAAGATCACATTAGAACAGCAAAATTGTTCCCCCAAATTTTAAAATCATGCTTCCTTCCTTGACAATTACTGGGTGATGTGGTTTGGCTCCATGTCCCCACCAAAATCTCATCTTGAATTATACTCCCATAATTCCCACATCTTATGGGAGGGACTCAGTGGGAGATAATTAAATCATGGGTGCTGTTTTCCCCATACTATTCTCATGGTAGTGAATAAGTCTCACGAGATCTGATGGTTTGATAAGGGGTTTTGACTTTCACTTCTCTTTCATTCTTTCTTGGCACTGCCATGTGAGAAGTGCCTTTCACTTTCTGCCATGATTGTGAGGCCTCCCCAGCCACGTGGAACTGTGAGTCCATTAAACCTATTTTTCTTCCAAGTCTTGGGCATGTCTTTATCAGCAGCATGAAAACGGACTAATACAGTAAGTTGGTACCAAAAGTGGGGTATTGCTGAAAAGATAACCAAAAATGTGGAAGCAGCTTTGGAACTAGGTAACAGGCAGAGGTTGGAACAGTTTGGAGGGCTCAGAAGAAGAAAGGAAAATGTGAGAAAGTTTGGAACTCCCTAGAGACTTGTTGAATGGCTTTGACCAAAATGCTGATAATGATATAGAAAATGAAATTCAGGATGAAGTGGTCTCAGATAGAGATGAGGAACTTGTTGGGAACTAGAGCAAAGGTGATTCTTGTTATGTTTTAGCAAAAAGACTGGCAGCATTTTGCCCCTGACCTAGAGATTTGCAGAACTTTGAACTTGAGAGAGACTATTTAGGGTTTCTGGTGGAAGAAATTTCTAAGCAGCAAAGCATTCAAGAAGTTACTTGGGTGTGTTAAAGGCATTCAATTTTAAAAGGGAAACAGAGTATCAAAGTTCAGAAAATGTGCAGCCTGACAATGCAGTAGAAAAGAAAAACCCATTCTCTGCAGAGAAATTCGAGCTGGCTGCAGAAATTTGGATAAGTAAGGCGGAGCCAAATGGGAAAAAGTCTCCAGGACATGTCGGAGATCTTCATGGCAACCCCTCTCATCACAGGCCCAGAGGCCTAGCAGAAAAAAATGGTTTCATGGGCCAGGCCCAGGGCCCCTCTGCTGTGTTCAGCCTAGGGACTTGTTGCCCTGCATCTCAGCTGCTCTAGCCATGGCTAAAAGGAGCCAAGGTACATCTTGGGCCATGGCCTCAGAGGCTGTAAGCCCCAGGCCTTGGCAACTTCCACCTGGTATTGAGCCTGCAGGTGCACAGAAGTCAAGAATTGAGGTTTGGGTACCTCTGCCTAGATTTCAGAGGCTGTATGGAGATGCTTGGATACCCAGGCAGAAGTTTGCTTCAGGAGTGGAGCCCTCATGGAGAACCTCTGCTACAGTAGTGGAGAAGAAAAATGTGTGGTCAGAGCCCCCATACAGAGGCCCTACTGGGGCCTAGTGGAGCTGTGAGAAGAGGGCCACTGTCCTCCAGACCCCGGAATGGTGGATCCACCGATACCTTGCATGGTGCACCTGGAAAAGCCACAGACACCTAATGTCAGTCTGTGAAAGCAGCTGGGAGGGAGGCTGTACCCTGCAAAGCCACAGGGGTGGAGCTGCCCAATACCATGGGAACTCATCTTTTGCATAGCATTACCTGGATATGAGACATGAAATCAAAGGAGATCATTTTGGAGCTTTAAGATTTGGCTACCCTGCTGGATTTCAGACTTGCATGGGGCCTGTAGCTCCTTTGTTTTGGCCATTTTTTTCCCATTTGGAATGACATTTACCCAATGCCTTTACTCCCATTGTATCTAGGAAGTAACTAACTTGCTTTTGATTTTATAGGCTTATAGGCAGAAAGGACTTGCCTTCTCTCAGATGAGACTTGAGCTGTGGACTTCTGAGTTAATGCTGAAATGAGTTAAGACTTTAGGGGACTGTTGGGAGGTATAGTTGGTTTTGAAATGTGAGTACGTGAGATTTGGCAGGTGCCGGGGGGAAATGATATGGTTTGGCTCCGTGTCCCCACCCAAGTCTCATTTTGATTGTACTCCCATAATCCCCCTCATGTTGTGGGAGGGACCCAGTGGGACATAATTGAATTACAGGTGTAGTTTTCCCCATACTGTTCTCATGGTAGTGAATAAGTCTCACAAGTTCTGATGGTTTGATAAGGGGTTTCTGCTTTCGCTTCTCTCTCATTCTCTCTTGGCACCACCATGTAAGAAGTGCCTTTTGCCTTCTGCCATGATTGTGAGGCCTCCCCAGCCTCATGGAACTGTGAGTCCATTAAACCTATTTTTATTCCTAGTATAAGGTATGTCTTTTTCAGCAGCATGAATATGGACTAATACATTGGTCAAGTGTATTCTCTTGGTCTAATAATGACCTACAGACAACTTTAAAAATACTGGGCTAAATAGACCCTCAAGACATTTACTTTATAACTTTTTGAAGCCAGAAAGATGGAAGGAGGCCAGATGGAGCTTAGAATAGAATAGAATGTTTATACATACAGCACAGAAATCTTTTATTTGATGACTGAGTGACTTCTGCCTGCTAGGTACTTTGTTAGCTATATTTATGCTGTATCTTGGCCTTGAATGTTGTAATAACAGCAAGAGGGAATAGGTACTATTATTATTCTCATTTCATAACTGAGGAAACTATAGACTAGAGATATAAACTAACTTGCTTATTTGTCCAGTAAATAGGGAGATGGGATTCAAATACTGATCTTTTTGCTTTTAGAATCAAATTGCATGGTTATACTATATTTCTATCATGGCAGAGGTCCCTGGTACAGGAAGATGATTTGATAAACACTTGTTGAATGAAAAAGCCAGTATGCAGAGGTTTATGAGAAGGAAGCAGTTGCTCACTTAATAATTTTTAAATGCTTTCCCCAAATGAACCTAAGATTAGAAAACAAAGACAAGAATGAAAGGCTCTGAGACATGTAAAACATCTTTGACAATCATTCTGTAATGTCTACATCAAGTTCCAGCCCTGCCACATCAAAAAACCTTCCAGATACCAGTCTCACAAGAACATGATCCTAGAAGATTCTGGTGTTCATGGCTTCTGCCCACAGTGCAGGTATATACTTTCAGACCCTCACATAACCACAGCTAACCCTTTGGGACAACAAACCGAAGAAAGGAATAGCACCTACAATATTAAGAAAAAAGTACTGTGGGATTATTAACTTTCAAGGTTCAGTTGCTGTTCAGAAGCCTTTCTCCATCATCACCATTAATGGATGTGATCCACAGAGGAGCTGGTGCAGGATGAAGAAGGCTGTCCTCCCTGGAAACGATAAAATTAGCCACAGGGCTCAGATTGCTTAATCAACCATCTGGAGTTTGTGCAGACTAACTTTCTCTTTTTCAAAAATGTTTCTTTACTTTGCCAGACTAATTAGCTTGGTACTTTGAGTGAACTTAACCAGGAGATACCAATGACACAGCTTTCAGTGCTGAGCCTCAGTAGAGAGTCAGGAAGATCTCATTTTGGGGAGACTGCCAAAAAAGGAAGAGCTCTAAATGTAAGCACTGGACTTGGGAAACACACAAACAAAACAAAGAACACAGTCTCTACCTTGCACCCGTGTGCTCCTTTTAGAGCTTAGTTCTTATTTTTGAAAAAGCAGATTTCTGACACCACCTCTATTATGGACAAGCAATCTTTCCCTTTTTTCACATTCACCTTTGGGAAGTCTGTTCATGTGCCATTCTGATCAGCTGGTAATCTGACTTTTTCCTGTTTCCTGTGCAGCTACAGAGAAGGGCTAGATTTGTGGAGAAACAGAGTACTAGAGAAGTAGCCAGGGTGATTTAAATTTGTATGATTTTCAATATCCCGGGAGCAGGATGGTCCCTGCTGTGAATCTGGCAGCCAGCCTTCTTTTTTTTTTTTTTTTTTTTTTAACCAAACCATCTGGCAGCCTCAGAGCCCAGTTCTTTGGTAATAATTGTGCTACTTACTCCATCTGTACTTATAACTAGTTGTCTTTGCAAATTAAGCCAGCCCCATCTGTTCCCCTACCTTATAAATGAGTACAAAGGCTCCACACCCCTCCTGGAATATGTGGACAACATGAAGCATGGAATGGAACACCATGGTAGTGGGGAGAGAGCAGGGTTTCCTTTCCTACTGCAAGGCTGAAAACAGAAGGGCTGCCTCCTGAGGGCTCAGCATTTTCTGTCCTGGGTTTGCAAGGGAGCATGAATCTACAGTGGGTGCTCTGTTCTGTTTGCATCCAGGTTGCTAGACTTTAGAAAAAGCAAAGTTACTCCAAGTGATTGGCTGTGAGTAGGGTCAGTTAAGAGCCAAAGTAGAGATGAATGCTAATGCAGCGACCATTCTGTTTTCTGTAAATGCTGTGGGATTGAAAGGAGAGAAGTTAAGAGAGAAGGCCAATGGGACCTCATTAAGTTGTTCTGATTGTCTTGCTGCTATTTCTCTCTGAACCTGTGGAACAAAAGCCTAAATTTGTTTCTCAACGGAGACCTATAAGAGTAAAAGTTACTATAGTTTTCTAGAGTGACTAACAGAGAACAGTTTACACATTCTGAGAATCAAGCTCAATATTTGTCATCTTTCTGCTACCAAAGTTTGCACGTTGGTGACTCCCCAGGAAGGCTTCCCCTGTGCTCCAAGGAGGGTATGAGAATTGGTCAAAATCTCCCCTGTATTAAAGGTTAATTAAAAACCAAACAAACAAAAATTAACAGCATGATTTCCCCTCTTCCACAAAAATAAAATGAACATATGCCAATGATTTTATTTAACTGATTAATTAGTGAGGAAACCAGTAAGATGTTACAACTGGTTCAAAGGAGACTCCAGAGTAGAAATATTTATAGGCAATAGAATGCTTAAATGAATTTGCTTAATAAATACAAAACTGGTTTCTTCTGCCAGGAGAGAAGAAAAATAAATGCACCTATACCAGTCAAAATCCATTTGGGTATTTATTGATAAGTATTATTTGCATTGTTACTGGTTATGTATGATTTTCAGAGTTGTAAGATAGCTCAAAGTCAATGAAAGACAAAGAGATCTCATAAAATAAGGTAATGAGAAGGGTTTGGGGCCTATAGAGTAAAACCCCTGGGTTTGGGTTCCTATTGTATCACCTATTTGCCTTTTGTTTTTCTACATTAAATTTAATAATTTATATAACTTCTCTCTAAGCCTCTAACTCCTTATCCATAAAATGGGGTTTAAGTGACAAGCTCTACCTCGCAAGGATGTTGCAATAATCATTTACAAGTATAGATTTTTATAAAGTAGAGTTTAGGAAGTGCTTTCCTACATAAATGTTATCAGTAATAGTAACTAATATTTAACTGAGTTCTTATTATGTACCCAACATTATGTCAAGCACATGGATGACCTCATTTAACTTTCACTTTGCCTCCATGCAATTCTTACTATTATTTGACAAAATTAAAGCTTAAAGAGGTGACTTGCTATTTAATGTCATAGAGTGTCAAAGTATGTAATTGTACTACCTATAGCAGGACTATGTATGTAGGAAAGAACTTTAGGTGAGAGGGTTTCACTTTCTCTTGAAATGCAAATAGTTGCTTAGGGATTTGAGATATCTGCCCATTATGGGGGTCTAGTGAAAGGAAGGTATCTTTGCTGAAGGAGTGAGTAGAGAAAGCTGACCTTGGAAATTGCACTTTAGATTTATTACTCAGGCCTAGGAAGACAGTCTCCACATGGTGGTGTCTACAATTCAGTCCTGGCCTACCTCCTCTTCTCATTTTAGACAATGGGCTCTAAACAGAAAATGGAGAAGTCTGACATATTTTGCTTGAAGAATGCCATCGACGAAAAATCTTGAATGAATTTTCCCTGTTCTTCACTTTTTATCCTAGAGTTTCCTGAGAGTTGGAGACTGTTTCTACCCTTCCACTTGAGAAACTCAAAACTTTATGTCATTTTAACAGGGCTATTTTATAAGATTAATGATGTCATTGGTGTTTATACTGAAGGCATTAATTTGATTGTGCTAATATTAACAATCTGTTTTTTTGTACTTTGATAAATATGGCTTTGTTTAAAATTTTTTTGTTCACAGATGAAATCATATAAAAATGTTGAGGAAAAAATTTAACCCAACTGTTAAAATTTATTTTTGAAAATAAAAAACAAAATAAAAATATCAAAATGTTTAGCAAAACTCAATGAATTTAATTTTCACTGACATGTTTATTTCTTAATGAACTGAATATTTAGAAATACTTTTTTTTTTTTTTTTGTCTGAGATGGAGTCTTGCTCTGTTGCCCAGGCTGGAGTGCAGTGGCGCCATCTGGGCTCACGACAAGCTCCACCTCCTGGGTTCACGCCATTCTCCTACCTCAGCCTCCCGAGTAGCTGGGACTACAGGCGCCTGCCACCACGCCCGGCTAATTTTTTTTGTATTTTTAGTAGAGACGGGGTTTCACCGTGTTAGCCAGGATGATCTCGATTTCCTGACCTCATGATCCACCCTCCTCGGCCTCCCAAAGTGCTGGGATTACAGGCGTGAGCCGCCGCGCCTGGCCTACAAATACTTTTACAGTGGAAACGAAGTTTTCTTAAAGAAAAATAAGAGTGATTAGATTTGGCTAAGAAAAAGTACAACCCTTTCTTTATAATAATTTTTCCCAGGGTTATTATGTGTGTTCCTCCAGATGCCAGTTAATTTTATAGAGTTCCTTTTTGTCTGTCAGTTGGGATTGAATGATGGACTTTTAGAACTGGAGAGCCAACCTCCTCTTATCCTCCATCACCTTTATAGACAGGTAACTGAAGCTTAGGTTATTTTATGAGCAACATTATTGAAACGATAAATATGGTTTAATTGAGTAGGCTCTGTAAATCCTCCATCATCGTCATGACATATCTATCAACAAAATGATTTATGCATTTTTGAAGCTAGAAATTTCCCTTTATTACTCTGGAAAGGAAAAACATCGACATTTACTAATTCTAAGTTATTTGATTTTAACTGTCTGATTTTTTAAAAAATGTTGATTACCCAGTTTAGGCTTGTTAATTGTATTATTATCAGTCCTTTCCTCCACTTTTCTGTAAATGTGATTTTGAAAATGTATAGAATAGCACCACAGTGCAATTCTTTAGGAACATTTTAAGCACCCTAGAGATTTTTCAAAGAATCATCCATTTCCACCAAAATATGTCTGGCCTAAAGAAATGCATGCTTCAGGAATATTTCCACATTCTAGCTTGTGGCTAGTGGACTGAAGCTAGGTCAGCCCAGCAACAGTTTAGAAAAAAATGTATGGCTAAGGCCAGGCGCAGTGGCTCACGCCTGTAATCCCAGCAATTTGGGAGGCCGAGGAGGGTGGATCACCTGAGGTTGGGAGTTCGAGACCAGCCTGACCAACATGGAGAAACCCCGTCTCTACTAAAAATTACAAAATTAGCCAGGCGTGGTGGCACGTGCCTGTAATCCCACCTACTCGGGAGGCTGAGGCAGGAGAATTGTTTGAACCTGGGAGGCAGAGGTAGCGGTGAGCCGAGAGATTGCGCCATTGCACTCCAGCCTGGGCAACAAGAGTGAAACACTATCTCAAAATAAATAAATAAACAAATAAAAAGAAAAAGAAGAAATGTATGGCTATGAGGAAGCAGCTATCTTTTAGGCTAAATTCAAAAGTATTTCTTTCTAAATTAGTACTTTCAGTGGCACTTACATGGAGAGACGTTAGGGAAAAAATCCTTCAGCTACTTTTAAAATCCTGGGTCAAGTGGAAAAGACCATCATTCTTCCCTAAACTGTAGCGCTGCTGCTGTTGTTGAAACTGAGTGATGAATTCCTGCAAGGAGAATCATTTGGCTATTTCCAATCTATTTCCACACATGTAAAAGTTTTTCTGGAAAGTCTTGGAAGTGAACTACAATCATTTACAGAAAGAATGGCTCCTGAATCTGAATATCAGTGTGTAGGCACCTGGGTAGAAACTCACATCAGGAGCTGAGGAACCATTTATCACATCAGGATTCTCTCTGAACCCTCACAAGGCGTTCTGCATGAGTTTCTATAAATCTTTCATCATGGCCATGAATTCTTTATCAGCTCTAGATTTTTCTCTCTTGCCATGCACAGCTTTTTCTTCACCTTTTCCTCTCTAACAGATTGATCATGTCTCCTTAGTATATTTTTTCTTTCGTTTGCCTTTTGCTAATGCTGTCTGTCTTTTAGGTTATTGCAGCAAATGGACTAGGAACTGCAGCATCATTTGTTTTTTTGTGGTCCAGTGAGCTAAGAACACTGGATTTCAAGTCAAGTGAGCAGGGTATTAATCTGTTCTCTTCTCACAAGCTGTGTGACCTTTGATAAGTTATTTGAAATCTGTCTCTATACTTTCCTGATCTACAAAGTGGAGCCAAACAAGCTTACCTCACGAGGACTTGACTGATGATGACAGCCATGCTCCAGTGAGTGCCAGCTTATGTCAGACACCATGTAAAGTGCTTTACCCAGATTTTTCCATCTTCAAAACAGCTCTCCAGGGTAGGCTATTATATCACCATTTTATGTATTAGGAAACTGAGACCCATAAAAGTTTCTCTAGCTATTGAAGTCAGACAGGCTTTGAACCCAGATGTCTGTGGCCACAAAGGGATGGTCTCTTGGAATATGACAGTGCTTCCCAGTAGGTTTCAAATATTGCCTGTAATCTACCTCTCTAGTTGATGACAATGTAAACCATTTATGAATTTCCTTCACCTATTGGACTCTGTCTTTTGGACCACCTATTTCTCTTTACAGCTCTAGCTTTAAAGCCAAGTTGCCAAGTTATCCTATCATTTGGTCCAGGCTTTTCATACCTTCCATGGTAGTAGTTAAGAGCATAGACTTTAGAACTAGAATGCCCAGGTTCAGATTCCAACTTCCCAACTCATAGCTGTGTGGCCTTGAGCAAGTTACTTAACTTCAGTATGTCTCAGTTTCCTCATCTGTTAGATGGAGATAAAGTACCCATGTGAAGGTTGTCGGGAAAATTAAGTGAGTTGTTTTAATCAAAGCACTTTGATCACAGCTTGGAACATGGTAAGAGCTATATCAGTGTTGGTTATATAGTAGTCTGGGTTGTGAGGCCTCAGCATGATGTTCTCTCTCTAAACTCATTCGATGTATGATATTTAATTATGGTTTTCTTTCCTAACCTTCAGTTGCTACCTTTAAAATTTTTATTTTTGTGGTTTCAGGTACAGTGTTAGTTACCTAGGCAGATGTGTAACAACTTGATACTTTCTTTCCTTAAATGCGCATCACACTGTAGCTTAGTCCAATGTTCCTTAGATGCCTTTGGCAAAAGTGTTACAAGTTATATAAAAAAATTAAAAGATTCTTTTCATGTCATATACATTTGTGTGTCACATAAACTTTGGAATTGCAATAAACTATAATATCTGCTTGGGATTTTATAATGAATATTAGCAAATTTACTTCCCTGAGAATTCCAATAGAAAATGAATGAGTTTAATTTTGTTTAAAATAGTGCTTCCCAAATTATTTTTCCAATTCACTCTCCTATTTATTAAGAAAATACCCACACAGTGTTGAAAATGCTTGTCTAGTGAGCTCTGACTTTTGTTAGTAAGAGAACGCCTGAAGAAAGTACTTAGGAAAACCTGTTTTAAATATTGGCCCTATAGGATTTCTATTTTTGTAGCAAACTAAATTATCAGAAGGCTAATTGTTAGCTTATCTTGATTCAGAGTACTGTAGAATCACCAACACCATGTTGCATTTTAAACTTATGAGCTCTATTTATGCTGAATATAGAGATAAGAAACAATAATTTGAAATTCATTTGAGATATTATGGTCCATCATGTCGAGAACATTGCCTTTGTTGTGGACTAAAGTCACTATGGCTTGAATATGTCCCCCAAAGTTTAGGTATTGGAAATTTAATCCCCCATGCAACACTGCTGGAACCTTTAAAAGGTACTAGGTCACAATGGCTCTGGTCTCATCAGTGGACTAATTATTGATAATTATTTTGGGAGCAGGTTAGTTACCTTGGGGGTGGATTCTTGATTAAAAAAAGGGGGTAAGTTTAGCCCCTTTCTTTCTTGATCTCACATGAGTGCTCCCTTGCCCTTCCACTGTTCATCACAAGGAGGCTCTCACTAGCTGCGGCTTGGACTTCCCAGCCTCCAGAGCCATGAGTAAAGTACATTTTTCTTTTTGATAAATTACTCACTTTCAGTTATTCCGTTATAGCAGCAGAAAATAGACTAAGACAAATATCTTTTACATATAATCTTCTACACTGAATTTTGTTTTATATGCCAGTTGGGAATAATTTTGTTTCCCTTGAAGAACCAAGGAAAATAATAGTTTCCTCCTTTCTGATGAGAATCTTTTTACAGCAGATTCTAAGAAGCTCACAGAAATAGTTGAAACCTCAGCAGGACAACTTTGTTGTTCTTAGATTCGACATTTTTATATTCATCTTTTCTCTGGTCCTAGTTTTCTATTTTTATGTAAATATTTGATGTCAGTTTCTTTTATGATAAGCCACTTCAAGATCTTTGTGGAAAGATGCATGCATATAATAAACATAAATATATTAAACAAGAACCACTTTAAAAGTGAAACACTTGCTATCAAAGCAAGCAATTGCAATGTAAGTTTCTGTGAGAGCTAAGTACAAACTAAGCAGCTCAGAAGAATTCAATGGTGTGAGTGGGGGAAAAATGGAAGATTCAGAGAGGATCTAACAGATGAGCTGCATGCTGAAGGATAAGACAAAGGGCTTCTTATGAAGAGAATAATATCTATACAGGCAGAGAAGCTGGAAAGTGTATCTGCAGTATATCTAGGGATTGGCTGGTATTGTGGCAGATCTGAAACACAGGGTTGTTGGGAGCAACGAAGCAGAACTATTGAGTAGTATTGAGTAAAGCTTTGTATTTTGTAGTTCCTTCTTATTTCCAGAGTGATTAGAAACATGTCCTCAGAGTCATGGTGACTCTTGGGTCCTTGAAGAGCTCTATCTCTTCTAACCTTTGGTGGTGCTATTTTGTCTGATACCTTTTTGATGAACTACCATGACAGTGGTTTGTAATCTCCAAGATAGGGATTAAATTTTCAAAAGAGGAATTAATAGGATGCATTGGAGAGATGTACATATTATAAAACAATGAGTCATAAGTGACCTGTGGCTGTATGAAATGTCCTGGGCAGAAATTATATCTTTTGTGTTTATTTTCATCTGGTGCTGCTTTATCTGACTTTATACACTGTCTTACCACAACCCATCAAATAGATTTTGTTTATTAAAGGAAGTCAATTGACTGCGCCATTCTGGCATATATTATCTATTTAATAACAAAGGAAGATAGAGTCTTCTCTTTTTGGTGACTGTTTCCTTTGCAAGCTGCTGCTTCTATGTGTTTCATTAGATCACTGTCACCACAGTTATTAGCAGAGAACTCTTTTTTTCTGTTGCACATTGCAATGAAAAGACATCCTTGTAACTTTGCCAAAAGATGACAGCTTCAGGATGGAGCCAGTTACAGCTGATTTTCTCCAGGTCTCTCTTTGTCTCTCTCCCATCAGTCATAATATGATATTTGGGATCCCCTATCCTGCCACGCTCATACTCCCCACCCACATCTATTCTTAGTTTTTCTGCAAGGATATTTTCTGAATTATACCTGATAACTTCTCTGAATTATCAGTATTACTTTTTAAAATCATAGAATATACACATTTGTATCTATTTATGATAAAATATAATGAGTTTGATCCATAAGATTTTTGCTTGTACAGAATCAATTCATTGAGGAAAGTTAATCAATCCACACTGTCATGTGATATCATAGAGTTCAATAAGTCTTTCCTGCTTTGTCTGGAATTTTTATTTTTTTAATCCACTTTTAGTCCTGTGAAGATATGAGATATATTAAAAGACTCACTATACATCCTGAGAAGAGTATTGGTTTTATATTTTCAAAATTACTAGCCCTCTAGAGAAAATTCTCAGTGTCTTAAAGATACTGTGTCCTTTTCCATCTGACCTAAGACCCTCTACTAATACTCGAAGCTCCTGGCAGCTGGGATATTCCTCTCATTAATTATAAAAGAATACCTAATCTATTAGGAAATCATTTCAAAAATATTATTTGCTTCCTACGTTTAGAAAAAATAAAAGTTTAGGGGTATTCCAAGTTTGCCCCCAGTTATTTTTGTCTTACTGAATTTTACTTATTTGTGGGTGATAATATTTAGTTATGTTCTTTCTTCCAAAGACATACACACATTTTATATGTTTGTGTGTATAGGAAAGTTTAATCAGAGGCAAGGAAACCAGATTCAAAGTACTTGGAATTTTACGAAAAAATTCTAAATGAAGATACAAATCCTGTGTTTCACAATGTACTCTACTGATGAAATTTATTATATTCCCAGAATAGATATTTATGGTAGACAATAAGTAAAGACTGGTAATTTATGGGACTATAACTTGGCTTCTGATTAGTTATTTTTATTCTCATTCTATGATTTTATCTGGGATATTTTTACTGTCATGTACCTCAAGTTCATTGAAGATTGGGGCTGCTGTCTCAGATTCTTTGGAATAGCTGACCTTTAACACGAACCTTTGCCATTTCAGCATCTTCTTATTGTACTAAGCTAGGCTTGTTGTTCCGAGATGGCAAGGCAGGAGGTTCTTGTTATATAGTAAGAAATTATGATGGTTAAATTAAAGTAGGTTTAAACATCATCATATCAATATTATCATTAAATGTGAATGGCTTAATATCCTGATTAAAAGGTAGAGATTGACATTTGGATAAACTAGAAAGACCTAATTATATCCTGTCAGCAAAACACTTTAAGCAGAAAGAGAAAAAGATTAAAAGATGGGGCCGGGCACAGTGGTTCACGCCTGTAATCCCAGCACTTTGGTAGGCCGAGGCAGGCGGATCACGAGGTCAGGAGATACAGACTGTCCTGGCTAACACAGTGAAACCCCATCTCTACTAAAAATACAAAAAAAAAAAAAAAAAAAAAAATTAGCCGGGCGTGGTGGCGGGTGCCTGTAGTCCCAGCTACTCGGGAGGCTGAGGCAGGAGAATGGCTTGAATCCAGGAGGCGGGGCTTGCAGTGAGCCCAGATCACGCCACTGCACTCCAGCCTGGGTGACAGAGCAAGACTCCCTCTCAAAAAAAAAAAAAAAAAAAAAAAAGTAAAAGATGGTAAAAAATTCATTTGCTAATACTAATCAAAAGAAAGCTTATGTAGCTCTATTAATATCAAAATCAATTTGAAGGCAAAGTATATTACCAGGGATAAAAAGAAGATCATTTCTTAATAATAAAGGGATCAGTTTATCTAGAGGACATAACAATCCTAATGGTTAAAGCAACAATCCTAGACACTCAAATACACAGAGCAAAACCTGATAGAACTGCAAAGAGAAGTAGACATATCAACAGTTATACTTGAATATTTCAATGCCCCTTTCTCAATAATTGATAGAACAAGTAGACAAAAATCAGTAAAGGTGTCTAAAATCTGTACAACACTGTCAACCAATTTGAACTAATTGACATTTATAGAATGTTCCACCCAACAACAGCAAAATAGATTGTTTTATCAAGTTAACATAGAATGTTTACCCACATAGACCATATTCTTGGCCATAAAGCAAGTCCATATAAATTTTAAAATTATTCAAGTCATAAAAACTATGTTCTCCGACCACAGTGAAATTAAACTAGAAATCAATAATGTGAAAACATCTGGAAAAACCCCAAATATTTGGAAACTAAATAACACAATTCTAAATACCCCACGAACTAAAAAGTAATCAAAAGCGTAATTTAAAAATACCTTGAACTGAATGAAAATAAATTGTGGATGCCATCAAAGCTGAATTAAGAGGGAAATTTATAGCACAAAATGTCTATACTAGGAAAGAAAAAAGTACTCAAGTCAATGACCTTAGCTTCCACTTTAAAGAAATTATAAATGGAAGAGCAAATGGAATCCAACTAAGCAGATGAAATAATCAGCACAGAAAACGGTGAAATAGAAAACAAAAAATCAATAGAGAAATATCAGTGCAACCAAAAGCTAGTTACTTGATAAGATTAATAAGATTGATAATTCCCTACCCAGACTTACCAGGAAAAGAAGAGAGAAGACAAAAATTGCCAATATCATGAATGAGAGAGTTGATATCACTATATATTCTAGAAACATTAAAAGAATACTAAGGGAATGTTGCAAAAACTTTATGTCAATAAGTTAGAAAATGTAGGAAAAATGGGCAAATTCCATGAAAAACATAATCTATCAAAACTTAGGAAAAATAAATAACAAAACAGTCCAATCTCTATTAAAGAATTACATTTTTGATTAAAAATTTACTGACAGAAAAACAGTGCACACAGATGGTTTCACTGGTAAATTCTATCAAACATTTACAGAAAAATAATATAAATGATACGTAAACTCTTTCAAAAAATAAATAAGGAGGGAATAAATTCTATCTCATTCTTTGTAGCCAGTATTACTTTGATACTAAAACCAAAGACATAGCAACAATATATAACTCTAATGAATATAGATGCAAAATTCCTACCAAGATTTTAGCAAATATAATTCACAAATGTATCAAATGATAATATTTTATGACCAAGTAGAATTTCTCACCAAAATACATGATTGGTTTAACACTCAGAAATCAGTCATTGGAACTTGCTATGCTAAGAGACAGAAAGGGAAATCCTTAGTATCATCTCAATAGATCCAACAAAAGCACTTAAAAGATTCAACACTTTTCACAGTGGAAATCCTCAGAATACTAGGTACAGAAAAGTACTACTTCAACCTGAAAAAGAAAATTTCTGAAAAACTTATAGCCAATATTATGATGAAAGACTAAATTCTGCCTGAGCATGATGGCTCATGCCTGGAATCCCAGCATTTTGGGAGGTCAAGGTCACTGGATCACTTGAGCTCAGGAGTGTGAGACCAGCCTGGGCAACATGGCAAAACCCCATCTCTACTAAAAATCAGCCGGGCATAGTGATGTGTGCCTGTGGTGCCAGCTACTTGGGGGGCTGAGGTGGAATGATCACTTGAGCCCTGGAGGTCAAGGCTGCATTGAGCTGTGATTACGCCACTGCACTACAGCCTGGGTGACAAAGTGAGAACCTATCTCAATAAACAAATAAATAAATATAAATTATTTCTCATGTGAGGCAAGAATATCCTCTTTCCCCACTTGTATTTAATATTGTATTTGTGGTCCTAGCTAATGTATTAAAAAAGTACAAGAAATAAATGGCATTGAGATTGAAAAAGGATAAATAAAAAACTGTCTTAATTTGCAGATGATATCATGGTCTCTGCCAAAAATCGGAAGGCATTTTCAAAAATGCTACCAGAACTAATAATTATGTTTAGCCCATTTGTAGGATATAAGATCAATATACAAACATCAATTGTATTTTTATATAGTAAAAAGAAACAATTGGAAATTAAAGTAAAAATATTATTTGCTATAGCATTGAACAATATGAAATATTTTGGGGTAAATATGTACTAGACTTCTCCATTGAAAACCAACTGTGAGAAACTCAAGATGACCTAAATAGAGATATATATCATTTTCATGTATCAGAAAACATAATTTTTTTAAGATGTCAATTTTACCTTAAGTATTCTGTGGATTCAATTCAGTACTAATCAAAATTTCAGTAAGTTTTCTTTGTAAAAATTGACAAGCTTAGTCTAAAATTCATGCAAAGGAATTACAATAGAAAACAACAACAACAAAAAGCAAAGTTGGAGGACATTTACTAAGTGAGTGCAAAACTTATTATAAAAGTATAGCAAACAAGGCAGTGTGGTATGGGGAAAGGCAGGCATGTAGGTCAATGGAACAAACTAGAAAGTCTGAAAATAGACAATGCTTATAAGGTCAATTGATTTTTTACAAAACTTTCAAGGTAATTAATGGACTTGTTGAGAATACTCAATAAATGATACCAAAACAATTGGATTTTCATGTGCAAACAAATAAAATTTAACCTTTTATTAACACTTTATAAAAATGGACTTGAAATAGATTATAGACACAAATTTAAGAGCAAATATTATGACATTTATAGAATAAACTATAGCAGAAAAAAGATTGTATCTTTAGGTTAGGCACAGATTTCTTAAATAGGATACTAAAAACACAAAGCAAAACAGAAAAATAATAATATATTGAACTTCTTTAAAATTAAAACTTTACTCTCCAAAAGATCCCATTAAGAGTATGAAAAGGTGGGAGTTTAGGAAAAATGGCAAATAGGAGACAGGACTAACATGTAGCTCCCACTTGGATGGACAGAACAGAGTGAGGAGACTCACATTGTGAACTTTTGCTCTAGAACCACCACAAGAACATACTGGAAAAACTGAGTGACCCTTTCACAGACCCTTTGAAAAATGTGGCTTGCCACTGCAAACTCCAGAAGAGATCCAAAACACTGTGAGTCCCCAAAGTGATGGGGAGAAAAGTCTGCCTCGAAATACACATCTTCACAGGGAAACCTAAAAATCCAGATCATGGGAGAAGGATTTAACCTTACCTAGAACTGAAATGGACTTAGAGAGCCAAGCGAAATATAAAAGTAGAAGAAGCAGTGGGAAGAGCCCTGGAGTCACTACTGGTCCCCAGCTCATGCCCAAGGAACCCATTCCTGGCTGTATTTCATGGAGTCCTTGGGGAAGGCAGCCAGCAGAAATGGGGAGGGGTCACAGGGTTAAATAAGCGTCTAGCTGAACTTTGTAATAATTTCAACTGAGCCTGAATTTTCCTGAGCAGAATTCATGGGTCAGGGGAGATGAAGTGGAGATATGAGCACAGTAGCCAAGCCAAAGATGAGGGCAGGTGGGGAGGGGCAAGACCTGAGATCCCTGCTTGCTTTCTCAGTGGAGAGGCTTGTAGCCTGGGGCAAGATCTCAGCTCTGCTTGCTGGCTGCCTAGATATAAACTGGGTGCTGTTGGTGGGGCACGGTGGGAGTGAGACTGGACTTGCTGGCTGCATGATAGCTGGGTGAGGCCTGTCACTGCTGGCATTCCCCCACTGCCCTGGCAACCTGTATGATGCAGCAGAGGCAGCCATAGTCCACCTAGGAACATAACTCCATTGGTCTGAGAACCACCCTCCCATGCCCCACAGTGGCTGGCCACAGCAAGCTCTGCCCAAGGAGAGTCTGAGCTCAGACCTGCCTAACACTGCCCCCACCTGATGGTTTTTCTCTACCCACCCTGGTAGCTGAAGACAAAAGACATAAATTCCTGGGAGCTCTATGGCCCTGCCCATTGCCTGAGAAACCTGAGTACTTATCCTGGCCAATGCAGGGCAAGATTATATCCACTTTCTACTACTGCAGCTGGTGCTCTCTTGAAAGAATCACCTCCTGGATGGAGGCCTAACTCAAGCCATTCAAGCAACTCATAACAGAACTCTGCTCCAAAGAAGGAGAAAACAACAGCTAATTCCATCACTTGCAACACCCTGGCTAACCAGAGGTCCTAAGTCTGTCCATGTGACAACTTCACTTGATTTTTTACAAAACTGCCAAGGTAATTAATGGACTTGTTGAAAAGACCCAATAAATGATACCAGAACAATTGATTTTCACACACAAACCAGCATTTGAGAAAACCGGTACACAAAACAAAACTACAACCAAGGATTCCCACAGAGTCCACTCCACTGCCCCTTCCACCAGAGCAGGTGCTGGTATCCATGGCTGAGAGACCTGAAGATAGATCACATCACAGAACTCTTTGCAGACATTCCTCAACACCAGCATGGAGCCCAGTAGCCCTGCTTTGTGGCTAGACTCAGAAGAGCAATAACAATCACTGCAGTCTGACTCTCAAGAAGCCCCACCCCTAGAGTAAGGGGGGAAAGCACCACATCAAGGGATCACCCTGTGGCACAAAAGAATCTGAACAGCAGCTCTTATGTTCCAAATTTTTCCACTGAAACAGTCTACCCAAATGAGACAGAACCAGAAAAGTAATTCTTGTAATATGACAAACCAAGGTTGTATAACACCACCAAAATATCACACTAGCTCTCTAGCAATGGATCCAAACCAAGACAAAATCTCTGAAGTGCCAGATAAAGAATTTAGAAGGTTGATTATTAAGCTACTTAAGGAAGTACCAGAGAAAGGTGAAAACCAACTTAAAGAATTTTTTTTAAAAATACAGGATATGGATGAAAAAGCCTCCAGAGAAATAGATATCATAAAGGAAAGACAATCACAACTCCTGGAAATGAAAGACACACTTAGAGAAATGCAAGATACACTGGAAAGTTTCAACAATAGAATTGAACAAGTAGAAGAAACAACATCAGAGCTTGAAGACAATGCTTTTGAATTAACCGCATTCAACAAAGACAAAGAAAGAATAATTTTTAAAAAATGAACAAAGCCTCCAAAAACTTTGGGATTATGTTAAATGACCAAAGCTAAGAAAAATTGGTGTTCCTGAGGAAGAAGATAAATCTAAAAGTTTGGAAAACATATTTGAGGGAATAATTCAGGAAAACTTCTCTGGTCTTGCTAGAGATCTAGACATCCAAATACAAGAAGCTGAAAGAACACCAGGGAAATTTATTGCAAAAAGATCATCACCTAGGCACATAGTCATCAGGTTATCTAAAGTCAAGACAAAGAAAAGAATCTTAAGATCTGTGAGGCAAAAGCATCAGGTAACCTATAAAGGAAAACCTGTCAGATTAATAGCAGATTTCTCAGCAGAAACTGTATAATCCAGAAGGGATTAGGGTCCTATATTTATCCTCCTTAAATAAAATAATTATTTTGTTTTGCCAAGAATTTTGTATCCAGAGAAACTAAGCTTCATAAATGAAGGAGAGATAGTCTTTTTTTTTTTTTTTTTTTTTTTTTAGATTGAGTCTCACTCTGTCACCCAGACTGGAGTGCAGTGGCACAATCTTGGCTCACTGCAAGCTCTGCCTTCTGGGTTCACGCCATTCTCCTGCCTCAGCCTCCCAAGTAGCTGGGACTACAGGTACCCACCACCACACCCAGCTAATTTTTTGTATTTTTTTTTTTAGTAGAGACAGGGTTTCACCGTGTTAGCCAGGATGGTCTCGATCTCCTGATCTCGTGATCTACCCACCTCGGCCTCCCAAACTGCTGGGGTTACAGGCATGAGCCACAGCACCCGGCTGAGAAATAGTCTTTTTTAGACAAGCAATTGCTGAGAGAATTCACCTCTACCAAGTTAGCATAGAAGAAAGGCTAAAAGGAATTCTAACTCTTGAAACAAACCTCAAAATACACCAAAATAGAATCTTTGTAAAGCATAAATGTCATAGAGCCTATAAAACAATAACACAATGAAAAAAACCCCACAGTATTCAGGCAACAACTAGCATGATAAAGAGAACAGTACCTCACATCTCAATACTAACATAGAATGTAAATGGATGAAATGCTCCACATAAGAGACACAGAATGGCAGAATGGATAAATATTCACTAACCAAGCACCTGCTGTTTTCAAGAGACTCATCTTACACATAAGGACTCACATAAACTTAAGGTAAAGGGGTGGAAAAAGGATATTGCATGCAAATGGAAACCAAAAGCAAGCAGGAGTATCTAATTTTATATCAGACAAAATAGACCTTAAAGCAACAACAGTTACAAAAGAAAAAGAGATACATTATATAATTATAAAACAATTAGTCCAACAAGAAAATATTACAGTCCTAAATATATATGCAACTAACACTGGAGCTCTCAGATTTATAAAACAATTACTACTAGACCTAAGAAATGCAGTAGATGGCAACACAGTAATAGTGGTGGGCCTCAGTACTCCACTAACAGTACTGGACAGGTCATCAAGACAGAAAGTCAATAAAGAAACAACGGATTGAAACTATATCCTAGAACAAATGAACTTAACAGATATTTACAGAATATTCTGCCCAACAACTGCAGAATATGCATTCTATTTATTAATACATGGAACATTCTCTAAGATAAACCATATGATAGGCCACAAAACAAGCCTCAATAAATTTAAGAAAATAGAAATTATATCAGGTACTTTCTCAGACCACAGTGGAATAAAATTAGAAATTAACTCCAAAAGGAAACCTCAAAAACTATACAAATACATGAAAATGAAATAATCTGCTCCTGATTAATCTTTAGATCAATAATAAAATGAAGATGGAAATTTAAAATTCTTTAAACTGAATGATAATCATGACTCAACCTATGAAAACCTCTGGGATACAGCAAAAGAAGTACTAAGAGGAATGTTCATAGTATCAAATGCCTACATCAAAAACTCTGAAAAAGCACAGATAGACAATCTAAGCTCACACCTCAAGGAACTAGAGACAGAAGAACTTATCAAACCCAAACACAGCAGAAGAAAAGAGATAACAAAGATCAAAGCAGAAATAAATGAAATTGGAACAAAAAAACACAAAAGATAAATGAAATAAAAAGCTGGTTCTTTGAAAAAATAAACAAAATAGATAGACCATTAGTGAGATTAACCAAGAAAATAAGCCCAATTAAAAACTAAATGGGAGATATTACAACCGATACCACAGAAATACAAGAGATCATTCAAGGCTACTATGAACACCTTTAGGAACACAAACTAGAAAACCTAGAGGAGATGGATACATTCCTGGAAATATACAACTCTCCTAGATTAAACCAGAAAATAATAGAAAGTCTGAACAGACCAATAACAAGTAGTGAGATTAAAACAGTAATTTAAAAAAATGCCAACAAAAATGTCCAGATTCTCAGTGGAGTTCTATCAGACATTCAAAAAGGAATTAGTACCAACCTCATTGAAGCTATTCCAAAAGATAGAGGGGATTCTTCCTAAATTACTCTATGAAGCCAGTATTATCCTAATGCCAAAACCAGGAAAGGACATAACAAAAAAAGAAAACTACAGACCAATATCTCTGATGAACATAGAGGCAAAAATCGTCAACAAAATACTAGCTAACTGAATCCAACAGCATATCAAAAAGATAATATACCGTAATCAAGTGGGTTTCATTTCAGGGATGCAGGGTTGGTTTAACATATGCAAGTCAATAAAGTTGATACACCACATAAACAAAATTAAAAACAAAAATAATATTATCATCTCAATAGATGCAGAAAAAGCATTTGACAAAATCCAGCATCCCTTTAAGATTAAAACTCTCAGCAAAATTGGCATAGAAAGGACATACTAAGGTGATAAAAGCCATGTATGAAAAACCCACAGCCAACATTATACTGAATGAGAAATAGTTGAAAGCATTCCCCCTGAGAACTGGAACAAGACAAGGATGCCCACTTTCACCACTCCTATTCAACATAGTGTTGGAAGTCTTAGCCAGAGCAATCAGACAAGACAAAGAAATAAAGGGCATTCAAATCAGTAAAGAGGAAGTCAAATTGTCACTGTTCACCATGACATGACATGATCATATACCTAGGAAACCCTAAAGACTCATCCAAAAAGCTCCTATATCTGATAAATGAATTCAGTAAAGTTTCAGATACAAAATCAACGTACACAAATTAGTAGCACTGCTATACACTAATAGTGACCAAACTGAGAATTAAATCAAGAACTCAACCCCTTTTACAACAGCTGCAAAAATAAAATAAATTAAAATACTTACGAATATACCTAACCAAGAAAGTGAAAGATCTCTACAAGGAAAACCACAAAACACTGCTGAAAGAAATCATAGATGACACAAACAAATAGAAACATATACCATTCTCATGGATAAGTAGAATCGACATTGTGAAAATGGCCATACTGACAAAGGCAGTCTATAAATTCAATGAAATTCCCATAAAAAATAATACCATCATCATTCTTCACGAACTAAAAAAAAATCCTGAAATTCATATGGAACCAAAAAAGAGCCCACATAGCCAAAGCAACACTAAGCAAAAAGAATAAATTTGGAGGTATTGCATTACCTGACTTCAAACTAACTACAAGGCGTTAGTTACCAAACAGCATGATACTGGTATAAAAATAGGCACATAGGTCAATGCAACCAAATAGAGAACCCAGAAAGAAAGCCAAATACCAGCAGCCAACTGATCTTCGACAAAGCAAGCCAAAACATATAGTGAGGAAAGGACACCCTATTCAACAAATGATGCTGGGATAATTGGCAAGCCACATGTAGAAGAATGTAACTGGATCCTCATGTCTCATCATATACAAAAATCACCTCAGGATGGATCAAAGACTTAAATCTAATATCTGAAACCATAAAAATTCTAGCAGATAACATCAGAAAAGCTCTTCTAGACAGTGGCTTAGGCAGAATTCATGACCAAGTACCCGAAAGAAAATACAACAAAAGCAAAGATAAATAGATGGAACTTAATTAAACTAAAATGTTTCTGCACAGCAAAAATAATAATAATAATCAGCAAAGTAAACAGACAACCCATAGAGTGGGAGAAAATATTCACTAACTATTCATCCAATGAAGGACTAATATCCACAATCTACAAGGAACTCAAAACAAATCAGCAAGAACAACAACAACAAATAATAATCCCATAAAAAAGTGGACTAAGGAGATGCACAGATATTTCTCAAAAGGAGATAGATAAATGGCCAACAAACACATAAAAAAAGTTCAATGTCACTAATGATCAGGGAAGTGCAAATCAAAGCCATGATGTGATAACACCTTACTCCTGCAAGAATGGCCATAATTTAAAAAATTATAAAATGTTGGCAAAGATGTGGTGAAAAGGGTACTCTTTTACACTGCTGGTGGAAATGTAAACTAGTACAAACACTATGGAAAAAAGTGTGGAGATGGAGACTCTTTAAAGAACTAAAAGTAGAAGTATCATTTGATCCAGAAATCCCACTACTGGGTATCTACCCAGAGGAAAATAAGTCCTTAAATGAAAAAGACACTTGTAGACTCATGTTTATAGCAGCACAATTCACAATTGCAAAATCGTGGAACCAACCAGAATGCCCATGAAAAAACGAGTGGATAAAGATACTGTGGTATATATATATATATATATATACACACACACACACACCCCACATCATATATATATATATATATATTTATATATATATATTTATATATATATATATTTATATATATATATTTATATATATATATATTTATATATATATATTTATATATATATATATTTATATATATATTTATATATATATATATTTATATAAAAATATATATATATATATGATGGAATACTACACAAGCCATAAAAAGAAATTAATTAACAGCATTTGCAGTGACCTGGATGAGATTCGAGACTATTATTCTAAGTGATGTAACTCAGGAATGGAAAACCAAACATTGTATGTTCTCACTGATATGTGGGAGCTAAGCTATGAGGATGCAAAGGCATAAGAATGATACAATGGACTATTACTACATTATATATATTATATATATTTATTATGTTATATATAATGTGGTATATATTATATATATTACATTTCTTTACTCACTCACTGGTTGATAGGCATTGAGGCTGGTTCCATATTTCTGCAATTGTAAGTTGTGTTGCTGTAAACATGCTTGTGCAAGTGTCTTTTTCATATAACGACTTATTTTCCTTTGGGTAGATTCCCAGTAGTGGGATTTCTGGATCAAATGGTAGTTCTACTTTTAGTTCTTTAAGGAATCTCCACACTTTTTTCCATAGTGGTTGGACTAGTTTACATTCTCGCCAGTAGCGTAAAAGTGTTCCTTTTCACCACATGCTTGGCAACATTTTTTGATTTTTGAATTTTGGCCATTCTTGCAGGAGTAAGGTGGTATTACATTGTGGTTTTGATTTGCATTGCAAAACATTCTGGTTTTGATTTGCATTTGATTATATATATAATCAAATAACAATGGAATACTACTCAGCCATAAAGAAGAATGAAATAATGGCATTTGCAGCAACCTGGATGGAGTTGGAGAGCATTATTCCACGTGAAGTAACTCAAGAATGGAAAACCAAACACTGTATGTTCTCACTTACAAGTAGGAGCTAAGCTCTGAGGACACAAAGGAATAAGAATGATATAATGGACTCTGGGGACCTGGGGGGAAGGGTGGGAGCGGGGATGAGGGATAAAAGACTACACATTGGTTGTAGTTTACACTGCTTGGGTGGGTATACCAAAATCTCAGAAATCACCACTAAAGAACTTATCCTTGTAACCAAACATCATCTGTTCCCCCAAAACTATTGAAATTAAATGAATAAATAAATAAATAAATATTGATAGTGAAAAAAAGAATATGAAAAGGTAAATGTATACCAAGAGAAAATATTTGCAAAACATATATTTGACAAAGAATTTGCAATCAGGCTATATAAACAACATGTATGTTTCTAAAAAGAATAGAACCTGAATATTTAGAGGGCTATAGGAAGGGCAAATAAGCCCAAGAAAAATGCTCAGCATCATTAGTAATTAGGGAAAGATTAATTAAAGCCATAATGAGTGGAATCACCATCATACCACAGAATGGCTAAAGTTAAAAAGACTGACAGTATTAAGTATTGGCAAGGAAATGGAGAAACTGGAACTCTCATACACTGCTGTTGGAATGCAAAATGGTACAACCACTTTGGAAAACAGTTTGGTAGTTTCTTATACAGTTGAACATACACTTACCATAAGACCCATTGATTCTACCACAAAGTTATTTACCTGACAGAAATCAAGACATAGGCCTACACACAGACTAGCTCATAGTGGCTTTTTTTCATAATAGCCATAAACTGGAAATCACCCAAACATACATCAAATGGTGAATGGACAACAAACAAATTGTGGTTATATTCATAAGGAATGGCTATATCCATTATTTACAAGGAATTTGGTGATGAGAAGTCCCAGGATTGTTCCAGCAACCCAATTATATCAGGGTGATCAGTTGGCTTGTGCGTTAGTCTCATCATTTTTTTATGGTTTTAAGATAGTTTACATAGCTCAAAGCATCACACAACAAGGTCTGAAAGAAAAGAGAGGGTGATGTTGGAGTAGACGGTATGAAAAGCCTTTTCTTTATATAGTTCTTTATTTTATCCTGAAGGAATATTATCTCCAGAAGCTGTCAGCAGACTTTCTCTAGAGCAAACCACTGGCAAAGAAAAATAATATTTCTCTGAATGGCTTGTATCAATCATGATTCATCTCTTAGATCTGGGCCAAGGGCCCACCATTCCTAAGCACATGGGTGGATCCAGTCTTTGTAAAACCTGAAGGTTGTTTAAGCAAAAGAATACAAAATTCCAAACACCAGCTTGTTAGGGGCCCCCCATATGCTCTAGCAAGCAGCCATGCTAGGGAGGGGCTCTGACTAGCTTCACTGGAGTCATGGCTAGTAGCTTCATTGTAGTCATGCAAGGGAGGGGACCTGACTAGCTTCAATGTAACCTTTACCAGCTTCACTGTAAACTCACTTACCCCTGGGTACTTGCAACTCATCCTCTGAAGAAATTCAAGGCTTTGTTGGTAGGATCAGGTGGCTATTACTAATACACAGTCGAGCAATACTTTCTGCCACAATTCCCTTTTTCAAGGAGATCAGAATCTTAGAAAATTCTCTAAGAGTATTGATATAATTTATGGGAACTATGAACTGATAGGTAACATTATTGCTGTTTAAATTTCCTTCTCCAGCTAGAATGGAAATGATGCTAAATGCCAGCTCCTGTGTAGGACTAGTAAAAGCAGCAGCATACCAAAAAAAAAAAATCATAGTTGAGGCTTTCTTCAGGGTTTCCTCTTCACCATTTTTAGTTGCATAGCCTTAAGCAAGTTATTTAATATTTCTGGGACTTAATTACCTTTTGTGTAGCGGGGGTAATGGTAGATAAAAGTCTATGATATTTGCTAAATTTGAAATAAATCTGCTCATAGTTCCCCTGACAGTATTTTTTTCCTAAGAATGTTACAGACATCTAGGAAGGGGAATCCACTCTATATTTTGGTCCCTACTTTCAGTTCATTACTTGAGGCTCTTTCCTTTTTCTTTTCCATATTTCCTGGGCTTTTGCTACAAGGTGTTTTTTTTTTTTCCTAAATGATCACTTAATTCCTAAAAGCCAAGCTACAGATTGTTGGGTGGGTAGTGAGAAGCAGTATATTTTTCTTTCAAGAGCTTATTTAGAGTGATTGTTAACATGTATCTTTAGAGATTAAATCATTAAGTGAGAATGCAGTTTGTGAAATAATGTTTTCTCAAGCTACTCAATTTTTTTAAGTACAATGCAGCAAACATCAACTCACAGCTTTTATTCGGACTGATCTGAATTCCTGTTGTCAAATACTTCATAAATAATTCAAAAGGAAAACAATGGATAACTCATGTTATATTTGTCTTTCATAAATAATACTTTCAAATCATTAAGTTGTGTCTGTCTTCACAGCAGCAGCTTGTGGAATGGAGATTTGCCCACTCTTTGATTAAATATGAACACTGTAGTCAGAGAAAATACGTAATTAATATGTAATAATTAAAGCAGGATGTGTCCACTTATTGGGTACCTTCCGGGTGTCAGGCACTATTCTAGGCACTTCATATCTCCTATTTTGTTTAGTTTTTATAACAGTCATGCAAAGGAAGTATTAATTCTTCCAATTTAAAATGAAGAAACTGAAAATTAATTTTAAAAAGTTAAATAACTGGCTCCAGATGATGCAGTTAAAAAAAAAAAAGGAAAACTCAAATCCTGTCTGACTCCAGGCCAGTGCCTTTAACCACAATGCCCAACGCTCCTGTCACTGTGCCGCAATGTCACTTGACAAGTGAGCACCATCGGAAAGACAGAAGTTTGGAGTTCTTGGTTCATCTTCCCGGCACTAATTTTTGTGGATTCAGAGTGGGATATTCATAACACCTTAATCCTGCCACTCACTCTGTTCCTCTCTGAAGGTTCCTAATGAGAAGTCTTCATAGAAATGATTCTGAAATGATGAGCAAATAGGTATTTTTAATAGCTCAGGAACCTAAAATTTCAGGGTACACAGTTATAAGGCTCAGTAACCGGGGCCCCAGAAGAATTTCTTTCCTGACTCTCCCCAAACATGGACAGACATTCTCATTTGTGCCTGAATATCAAGTTCCAACAGAAGACATGAGAAGTGGGTGGAGGGTAGTAAGACTTTTATTCACCCAAATTACATTCACCCAAAACACAACATGGTCCAAGGTGCTAGATTTGTGCTGTGCACTTGCTGCATGAAAGAGGAAAAATGCAAAAGGCGGTAGAAATACAGACACTGAACATCTGGTCAGGAGGTAAACAGGTCAGGATAAGGTATGAACCAACTTTTATGGTAAAGAATCTTTGCCTTTTTACTTGTCCATACAGTAGCAAGTAAAAGAATAAAAGATAGCATTACCTTTAGCCCTCATGGCACAGTGTTCCTGTCTTCTAATTAAACTATGGCCTCAAAAATGTCTTTGGCTCAGGTAATTGGAGGAATATGTCATTTATCTAAGCCAAGAAACAGCATGGTAGAATGGAACAAGTACTTTCATTTCAGGCTTCACTAAATACTGACTCTGTTGCCTGTGGGCCAAATTATTTAGAGTCTCTGTACCTCATTTTCCTCATTTATAAAATAGGAATTACAATATCTGTCCCTTAAAGACATTATAAAAATTAAAATATTAATAATGTAAATGTTACCTGGCATATGGTAGGCCCCCAATAAACATAACTATTATTATTGTTGGTGTTACTGTTATTAATAATAATACAAAGCAGGTGCCCATGAATCATAATAATAGCTTTAGATTTAGAAAACCACCACAACTAATATTTATAGAAATCATACTCAATTCTAGGTGTACATAAAATGTGAACTATTGTTATACCCATTTTATGCTTAAGAAGCTTACAGAGAGGCTAAGTTAATTACTCAAGGTCACATTGCTAATAAGTGATAGAGCAGTCAAGTTCTTTTGTTATTCTATGCCAGTTTGATGAGTTATTGATTACATTCAGATTGATTCAAACATATGGGAATCTCATTGTCAAAGTTAATGTAATCTTAGTATGTCATTTCTGCCATAAAAATCTCCAATACTTCTCCACTGCTTTCAGGATAGGACATTATACTAATCCATTTTCATGCTGCTGAAAAAGTCATACCCAAGACTGGGCAATTTACAAAAGAAAGAGGTTCAATTGGACTTAACAGTTCCCTGTGGCTGGGGAAACATCACAATCATGGTGGAAGGCAAGGAAGAGCAAGTCACGTCTTAAATGGATGGTGGCAGGCAAAGAGAGAATGAGAGAAGACACAAAAGCAGAAACCACTGATGAAACCAGATCTCATGAGACTTTTTCACTACCAGGAGAACAGTATGGGGGAAACTGACCCCATGATTCAATTATCTCCCACCAGGTCCCTCCTAAAACATGTGGGAATTATGGGAGTGCAATACAAGATGAGATCTGGGTGGGGACACAGAGCCAAACCATATCAGATATGAACATTTGAGCATAATATTTGACTATATCAGCACAGCCTTCCCTTCCAACTATATCTCTGAACAGTTACCCCAACCCCAACCCATTCCAGCCACGCCAGTCTTCTCACTATTTCTTGAACATGGCAAAGGCCTATCAGGCTTTCACACCTCTGCTCATTGTATACTCTGCCTGGAATGTTCTTATAGCCCTCTATACACCCTCCATCCACTTTCAGACTCACACTCTTTAAGACGTGGTAAATGTTATCCCCTATGTGAAAGCTTTTCTGATTCCTTTATGCAGGATCAATGATGTTCTTCCTCCATAAATTTAGCTTTTCACAGACAATTCTCCACTTCACGTCTGCCCTTCTTGCTAGAATATATGAGTCCCTCAAGAGAAAGGACCTTGACTTATTCTGCTCTGTATCCTCAATAACTGTCAATGGCTGACTGTATGTTCCCAGTAAATGTTGGCTGATTGAATGAATAAAATTCACTGATTGATTTCCTCACCCGTTTCTGTGTTGTTGAGAAGAATGAGTCCAATAAATGATTGAGCTAGCAGTGACAGAGCTCATATGGGAATTCACGGTGCCACTGTATCCAGCCCTATGTGTCTTTTTGCTAGACCACACTTGGTTAGTTGTGACAAGGCAATATTTTAACAACACTTTTGACAAACAGTCAGGCTTAGAGGAACACATCTTTGTTTGCTCAGTTGCTTAACCTTAATGGTTGACTTTTCTTGTTCTCCATGGGGTTCCCATAGCACTGGAGGAATAGTGAAGCACGTTCACATAAAGGAAGATGTAAAATATATCCTGACATTTATCTGCATTTCAGCAAGGCATTTGACAGACTCTTATGATGGGCTGATGGACCAGATGGAGAAACACTGGCTGGATAAAAGTAGCATTCATTGGATTAGTAGCTGGTTGGATAGTTGTACCTAAACATCTACACTACAGAATTCCTGCTCCCAGAATAAACACATTCATTCTTCTTTTCACTCTTTCTGGGTCTGCTGAGGCATGTCTCATGTTCTGGGCCAGCATTGATTATTTCAGTCTGTATCACAAAAGAACTGAAAAATAATATTAGAACTATTTTTGTTTGTTTCATGTCTGTTAGTTTTCTGATCCCTAAAGTTCTTTAAAATAGGGCATGTGTCTCATTATTTTGTCTTTTATGGCACCTTTACATGCTTGGGATAATGGAAAGATCAGAGAACCTAGACTCAGACAGGCTCAGATCAACTATCTGCTCTGCCATGAACTATTCATGTACTAAGCATTTGTTTTGTCCCTCAGGTGTAAAATGGGGACAAGAACAACTTTTCCCTTATAAACATAATCACTCTTCATGTCTAGTTTCTGATCAGCTTCTCAGAGAAGCTGTTCTTGAAGCTTCAGACTATGTTAGCTCCCTCATTAAAATGCTCTCAAGCCACCAGTTCCTTATCATATTAGGTTGGTGCAAACGTAATTGCAGTTTTGGACTGTGAATTTTAAATCATTATAACTAAACACATCTTTATTTATCAAAATAGGAACCATTACAATCAACACATTTTTTATCAATGAGAAATGTTTGTTTATTCCTGTGCTTCAGGATTTGACAAACTCTTGGATAGCATTTTCTGCATCCTGCTGTTTGTGGAAGCATTTTCCCTGCAATAAGTTGTTGAGATGCTTGAAGAAGCAGTAGTCAGTTGGCAAGAGGCCAGGTGAATATGGCAGATGAAGCAAAACTTTGTAGCCCAATTTGTTCAACTATTGAAGTGGTGGTTGTGTGATGTGCAGTTAGGCGTTGTCGTGAAGAATTGGACCCTTTCTGTTGACCAATGCTGGCTGCAGGTGTTGCAGTTTTTGGTGCATCTCATTGATTTGCTGAGCATACTTCTCAGATGTAACGGTTTCGCTGGGATTCAGAAACCTGTAGTGGATCAGAGCGACAGCAGACCACCAAACAGTGACCATGACCTTTTTTGGTGCAAGTTTGGCTTCGGGAAATGCTTTGGAGCTTCTTCTCAGTCCAATAACTGAGCTATTCATTGTCGGTTGTTGTAGAAAATCCACTTTTCATTGCATGTCACATCCAATCGAGAAATGGGTCCTTGTTGTTGTGTAGAATAAGAGAAGACAACACTTTAAAACAACAATTTTTTTTTTTTTTTTACTCAACTCATGAGGCACCCATTTACTGAGATTTCTCACCTTTCCAATTTGCTTCAAATGCTGAATGACCACAGAATGGTCGACGTTGAGTTCTTCACCAACTTCTCGTGTAGTTGTAAGAGGAGCAGCTTTGATAATTGTTCTCAATTGGCTATTGTCAACTTCCGATGGCCAGCCGCTATGCTCCTCATCTTCAAGGCTCTCATCTCCTTTGCAAAACTTCTTGAACACCACTGCACTGTACGTTCATTAGCAGTTCCTGGGCCAAATGCGCTGTTGATGTTGTGAGTTGTCTCCGCTGCTTCAGGACCCATTTTGAATTCGAATAAGAAATTCGTTTGAATTTGCTTTTGTCTAACATTATTTTCATAGTCTCAAATAAATATAAAATAAACAGCCAGTAATGTCATTAGCAAAAAAATATAAAGGGAGAAGTGTGCGTTAAAATTATGTATAACATAACCACATTTATTTAAGAATGTATTCCAATATCAAACAGCAAATTTCAACAACGCAAAAACCACAATTACGCTTGCACCAACCTAATATATGGTCGTTAAAATAAATTACGCTATTTCATTTTATAGGTAATTATTTATTTAAAGTATTGCCTATTAAGCTGTAAGCTCTGTGAGGTTAGGGACTCTGTTTGTGTTGTACACTTCTGTATTTCTAGCACCTAACCAAAAACATAAACCATGAGAGGCACTCACTCAATGTTTCTTAGATGAGTGAATCAACTTTAGCGTTGCCTACACAGTTCTGCCTGCATTAGCAGCCCCATTTGAGCCATCCTCCTCATCACTCTCCTGTTACAACCACATTGGCCTTTTCTCAGTTCCTTAAAGGTTTCATGCTTTTTATTTTTTCTGGGACTCTTTCACACGCTATTTCCTCTACTTGGAACAGAATGTTTTCCTGGCTTCCTCCCACTCCAATCTTTGCCCAGCAAATGCCTATTCTTTCTTAAGGCATCTCCTTTAAACAGTTTTTCTTCAGGAAAATCTTGTATTGTATGCCTTCACACCTACCCCTACCCTGGTCCCTAAGTATGTCAGGATCCCATTACAACCTATATTGCTTCTTTATTGCTGTTATAATAATTGTATTTATCATTTAATGTAAAGTCTTAGGCACATGTTAAGCTTCAGGAAATCATATTGCATTTACTGCTGTAAAAGCCCCTAGGATCCAACATAGTGACTACCATATACGTATAAATAAATATCTGTTGCCCAAAAAATTTAGGCTCTTTCACTGCAGGCAAAGATAATAGGGAAAATAGACAGGGAAATGAACTGAGTTGTGTGACAAAGACTGAAAGATGCTCACCACAATCCACTTTCTCTTATTCTGGGGCACAAGGCTATGGTACATGTTACACCTCACATGCACCTAGGTGTGGCCATGTGATTTTGTTTTGCAAAAGTAATGTGTACCCTGTGCCCTTCTGGGCCTCTCTCACACAGAATTCCTATTTATTTGTCTCCATACTTTTTCTCCCTTCTGGTTGGCTGAAATGGAGATGATCACAGATCTTGGAAACCACATGTTGAAATTTTCAGTGATTCCTTTAGCTGAAGTCCCTGCATGTCCACTTGGAGAGGAGCTGCACCTGTATGCTGACCTGGAACACCAGAATTGGACTGACACACGAGTGGGAAATAAACCCTTCTTGTGTTTGAGGCATTCTACATTGTGGAGTATATTGGTTGTAACTCTTATTGTTATGCTAACCAATAAAATGACTAAGACCTCAAAAGCATAAGCAACAAAAACCAAAATAGGCAAATGGGACTTAGTTAAATGAAAAAGTCTCTGCACAGCAAAAGAAAGAATCAACAAATTGAGCAGACAACCTGCAGAATGGAAGAAAACATTTGGAGACTATACATGTGATAGGGAACTGATATATAGAATTCACAAAAAAACTCAGATAACTTGACAACAATAAGTGCAACAAAATAACCCCACTGAAAAGTGGGCAAAGGACATGAATAGACATTTTTCAAAAGAAGACATACAAATGGCCAACAAGTATATGAAAAAGTGTTTAACATTATTAAGCATATCAGAGAAGTACAAATGGAGACCACAATGAGATATCATCTTATACCAGTCAGAATGGCTATTTTTAAAAAGTCAAACAATAACAGATGTTGGCAAGGATTCAGAGAAAAAGGAACGCTTATATACTGTTGGGGGAATGTAAATTAGTACAACCTCTTTGGAAAACAGTATGGATGTTTCTCAAAGAATTAAAAATAAAACTACTGCTCAATCTAGTAATCCTACTACTGGATATCTTCTAAAAAATGAAATAATTATATCAAAAAGATGCCTGCACTAGTATGTTTATCACAGTGCTGTTCACAATAGCAAAGATTTGGAATCACCGTAAGTGTTCATCAGCAGATGAATGGATAAAGTGTGGTATATATACACACACAATAGAACACTACTCAGCCATAAAAAGATTGAAATTACATCTTTTGCAGTAACGTGGGTAGAACTGGAGGTCATTATCTTAAGTAAAACGACTCAGAAACAAAAGTCAAATACTGCATGTTCTCACATATAAATGAAAGCTAAAAAATGTGTACATATGGATATAAATTGTGGAATAATAGACATGGGATATTCAGAAGGGTGGGAGGGTGGAAAAGCAGAGAGGGATGAGAAAATACTTAAGAAGTACAACATGCATTATGGTGTGATGGTAACACTAAAAGCCCAGACTTTACCATTATGCAGTAGATCCTGTAACAAGACTGTACTTGTACCTCTTAAAATTACACAAATTAAAAATAATAGCTGCTTTAAAATATTTAAAGGACCATTTCATGGTGGAGAATGCAGACTTACTCAGAAGTAGGTCAAATATGTACTAAGGCAGTGGTTCTCAAAATGGGAGCAGTAGCTCCACCATCCCCTGGGAACTTGTTAAAAATGCACATTCTCAGGCTCTAGGCCAGACCTACAGACTCAGAAACCCTGGGGATGGGCCTGGAGGTCTATGTTTTTATAAGTCTTCCAGGTGATTTTAATATACATCAAGTTTGAGAACCACTGGACTTTGAGTCTAGAGGGACTTAACCCTTGAAGCTTTGTGACTTTGGACAAGTTGCTTAATTTCTCTGAGCGATGATTTTTTTTTCCGGTAAAATGTTAGAGATATTTACTTCTTGGCATTGTTTTGAGAATTTGAATGAGTGTTTTTTTAATATATAAAGTACCAATCACAGAGTATATTTCAAACCATGTCTTCTCTCTTCCTTCCACTTTTGTGTGACTTCTGGTGAAACTGGGCCATAGGGAAAATTCTAGGAATTGGGGAACAAGAATGAACAGAATGCCATGAGTGTAGTGTGTAGAAGTTAAGACATCCTGGGCTACTATGCCAAGCATAAGGGTGGAAGAGGTACAGAGTATAATAGATTTGAAATGCTAGTCTATTCTGCTTATAAGGTTAGGTTGACCTGCTCGATGTTTAATAACATGTTTTAGCATCATGATTTTTGAACATTTTCTTCAGTTACTAACCTTTTTTTTCTTCTGAGCTATGACTATCAAGAACTTAGAACAGTTCTTAATACTTATTAAGCACTCAGTATGAGTTAGCTAGTTAGAATTATACTGCAAATTCTATGAGGTCGATGATTTTTGTTTGTTTATATACTGTAATATCCTCAGCACATAAAACAGTACCCTACACATGGCACATGCTCAATAAATATGTGTTGAATAAACAAAATAACATCTGTTATGTAAATTGCACGATTTCATACATAATGGCTTCTTTTCTCTTCCTCTTTTACCCATGCACTGTGACTTTAGTTTAAAGCAATGCTATGGAATTCTCCCTGATCTCCAGCCTACTGAGCCCCAAAGTTTAATGGGCATATCCATCATAAGGACGGTTGCTAAAATGTAGATTCTGATGCAGTAGGTCTGAGGTGGGGCCTGAGATTCTACATTTCTAACAAGCTCCCAGGTAATGATGGTGCTGCCCTTGCAGATACTCAGTTTCATTCCACCTATTCAGACTACTGAAATGCCATCAATTTCATTATTACTGCAAAAACATTTAACAACCATTGACTTGCAAAGTCTCTGAGAAAGACTGTGGTGTTGGTCCAGTATATTTTGAGGGAATGAACATCCAATTTTTTAAAGACACTTTTATATTTGAGGGAATTTTGACTTTTTATTATAGAAAACTTCAAATACAGACAAAAGTAAAAAAAATAATAATAAAGTCTCACATAGCCATACCAATTTGACAATTATTAATTTATGGCTAATCTTGTTTCTCTATAAACCTTCTACCACTAGATGTTTTAAAGACAATCCACATATCATTTTATTTATAAATAATTTGGTAATTATCTCTAAAATATAAGAAGTCATAAGGCTTGTAGCAACAATCTCATTCTCACATCCCTTGAATTGATTGCTTCTTAAAATCATCAAGTATTCCGCATTTGAATTTTCATGATTGTCTTTTTTGTTGTCATTTTTTAGCAGTTGTTTTTGTTGCTTAAATCGGAGTCCTATGAAAAGCTGCACATTGAATTGGTTGATATGTCTCTTAAGATTGTTTTGATCTATAGATTTCTACTCCTTTATTTTTTCTTAAACATTTATTTAGCAAAGAAATGGGATCATCCGTCCTACACTTTCCCACATTCTAGATCTTCAAGATTGGATTCTCATGTCTTATAAAATATTACTCTATCCCCTGTATTTCCTGTAAATAAGTGGTTAGATCTAGAGGCTTAATATGCTCCAGGTTCTATATTTTGGAAAGAATACCTTGTAAATGTTTGTTAGAGGGCATTCTTTCGGAGACAGCTGAAGGCTTCCAGATACCTGAAGGTTTAAACAAGAGATTTGTTCAGTAAGGCTGGGAAGCTTTTGGCCACACAAGCTTTAGAGACCCTGGTTTTTCTAAAGTGGGTGATGATGGTACTTTGTCAGAGACACCTGATTCAGAGAACTCTACTGGAAAATGCTTGTAAGGCCACGTCTATTGGTTTCTTAAGAAAGTGGTGGGATTGTCATAACACAGGACTCTCTTAGGTTCAAAAGAAGAAAGGAAGCAAGTTTTCAAATATTAGATTTTTGGAATTAATACAATGATTAGAACTTAATAAGTAAGAAGGGGATTAGCCTGTTGGTTTTGACCCAGAAAACCATACAAAGTGCTAATTCTTTTTATGAGCATTCTATAGTGATTATTCCATGCCAGAGGTAATATAACTTGTCTAAGCACTCACAGTTAACAAGTCTGTGCAGTTTTCTCTCCTGGAAATAGTGCCTCTCCCTATTTTCTTCTCTATTATATTATGCTAATGTTTACTTATTTTTCTGATTCCAGATTTTACTGTCTTCTTTCATGGTTTTTTCTGACCCTCACTTCTGGGTTAGCCTCTTCTGTGAGTTCTTTTAAAACCATGTGTTTACATTATCAGAGTGCTCAGTTATCAGAACTGAACCATATTTCAGTTCCTTGAATTAGGACCGGAAGATCTGTAAGGAAGCGACCACTTCCACCTCATTCACTGCACTATCCGAGGCACTGTATTGCATGCCTGCCACATAATAGAAGCTTGAAGAATATAGTTTGAATGAAGAATGACCAGTCTAGCATTGTTAGAAAGAAATAGGCTTTGGCTGACAAAACTATTCCAATGGACATGCAACCCTGCTCTCAGATCATATATGACCTGAGAACCATGTACACTTCTTTCGAGTGTACATCATAAAATGAGGTCCCCAGAACCTTATCCATTTCTGTGCTCTTCCCTGACACAGTTAATACTTTTGGTGAGCTGATCACTTTTGCCTCAAACTCTGTCCAACAAATAGGGGAGACAGAGGCAGCACATGGGTTCTGCATTCCAGGAGTATGAAGACCTCCCCATGGCTGATAATTTTTAAAATAAAGCATATTTGTACATGGAGTTGCATTTTATAAAGTCCTCTTAAAAGCTGTGGGGGCAGGAATCTGTGGTGATCATTCATCACCCTGCCCACACAGCAATTTTAAGTTACTTTAAAGGCAGTGGTCTTTTTTTTTTTTTTTTCATCAACCAACTGATAGTTCCCCAGGGTGCTGGCAGTCTGACTAATATGTAGTGTTATTGGTGGCTGCTTAGAAACCCCCCGTTTCCCAGGATCATGTAAATTGTATTATTTTGACTCCCACTGATGAGGTGTGACTTCTGTTAACTTTTTTTTTTTTTTTTTTTCGAAACTCCTTTCTTTTCTTTTTGTCAAGCTTTCAAAGCACTCACTTCTCAGTAGGACTCAAAAAATTACTGAGGATATTATTAGAGTATGTGTATTTTTATGTATAACACAATTCATAAATAGCATGTATATTACAAGGAGAAACCTAGCCTCTCTTTTCCTTTTCTGTTAAAAATTGTATGTGAAATGTTTAAATGTAAGAGGGGATTTTTTGTTGGTGGTGTTATAACATAGCTCCCAAAACCTTCCTGGCACAATGCTCACCAACCATGCAGCTGGGATACTGCTGCAGATGGAGATGGTTCTTAATGCCTTGCTAGACATCATCACCCTGATATTATTGCATTTCCAAAAATCAAGTTTATCTTCAAAGGATGGATATAAACGATGCTGTGATTTTCATGGGCAATGAATCCATTAAACAATTCCAAAATGATAATTGCCTAGACTGATTAATTTGGATTATGATTTTAGTGCTCTTTTTAGAAAGTTAGCTTCTCAAGGAGAGAAACAATGTTTTCTGTATATTTATATTCCTTTTAGGGCATAGCAGTGTTTCATTTATAAAACAAGTATTCAATATGTCTTGAATTCAATTGAATATTCATTGCCTTGCATTCTGTGAAGAATTTTATCCTTATTAGAAAACATTAAAACAAAAGTACTTTTAATGATAGAACAGGCAATTACGTAGACATGGTAAAAGCCTTTTAGATATTAAAATATTCAGCAACAATATCTCAAGAAAAATATTCTGTTAGTTACTTAGGGGTATTGATATGACTACGATATGCTTTTTGAATGCACATATTCCATAATCAAGCATAGAGACAGATGTGCAAACAAATTATAAGGTTGCTTTTTGATATGGTTTGGCTGTATCCCCACCAAAATCTCATCTTGAATTGTAGTTTCCCATAATCCCCAAGTGTGTGGGAGGGACCTAGTGGGAGGTAATTGAATCATGGGAACAGTTTCCCCTGTGTTGTTCTTGTGATAGTAAGTTCTCACAAGATCTGATGGTTTTATAAGGAGGTTTCCCTTTTGCTCAGCTTTCATCCTTCTCCTTCCTGCTGCCATGTGAAGGACATGTTTGCTTCCCTTTCTGCCATGATTATAAGTTTCCTGAGGCCTCCCCAGTCATGTTGAACTGTGAGTCAATTAAACCTCTTTCCTTTAGAAATTACCCACTCTCGAGTATCTCTTTATTAGTAGCATGAGAACAGACTAATACAGTAAATTAGTACCAGGAGTGGGGTACTGCTATAAGGATACCCAAAAATGTGGAAGTGACTTTGGAACTGGGTAACAAGGAGAGGTTGGAACAGCTTAGAGGACTCAGAAGACAGAAAAATGTGGAAAAGTTTGGAATGTCCTAGAGACTTGGAGGGCTCAGAAGACAGGAAGTTGTGGGAAAGTTTGGAACTTCCTGGAGACTTGTTGAATGGCTTTGACCAAAATGCTGATAGTGATATGGACAATGAAGTACAAGCTGAGGTGGTGAGGGAGATGAGGAGCGTGTTGGGAACTGGAACAAAGGTGACTCTTTGTATGCTTTAGCAAAGAGACTGGTAGCATTTTCCCCTGCCCTGGAGATCTGTGGAACTTTGAACTTGAGAGAGATGATTTGGGGTATCTGGTGGAAGAAATTTCTAAAAAAAATTCTAAATATTCAAGAGGAAGTAGAACATAAAAGTTTGAAAAATTGTCAACCTGATGATGCAAAAGAAAAAGAAAAACCCATTTTCTGGGCAGAAATTCAAGCTGGCTGCAGATATTTACATAAGTAATGAGGAGCCAAATGTTAATCACCAAGACAATGAGGAAAATGTTTCCAGGGCATGTCAGAGAGCTTCACAGCAGTCCCTCCCATCACAGGCCCTGAGACCTAGGAGGAAAAATGGTTTCCTGGGCTGGGTCCAGGGCACCTCTGCATTGTGCAGCCTTTGAACTGCATCCTAGTTGCTCTAGCCATGGCTAAAATGGGCAAAGGACATTGCTTCAGAGAGTGCAAGCCCCCAGCCTTGGCAACTTCCATGTGGTGTTAGTCCTGCAGGTGCACAGAAGACAAGAATTGAGGTTTGGAAACCTCTGCCTAGATTTCAGAGGGTGTATGGAAAGGCCTGGATGTCCAGGCAGTAAGTTGCTGCAGGGGTAGAGTTCTCATTGAGAACCTCTGCTAGGACAGGGCAGAAACGAAATGTGGGGTCAGAGCCCCCACACAGAGTTCCCACTGGGGCACTGCCTAGTAGAGCTCTGAGAAGAGAGTCACCATCCTCCAGACACCAGAATGGTATATCAACCGACAGCTTGCACCGTACATCTGGAAAAGCCACAGACACTCAACGCCAGCTGTGAAAGCAGTTGGGGTGGGAGGGCTGTACCCTGCAAAGCCACAGGGGTGGAGCTGCCCAAGGCTATGGGAGCCCACATCTTGCATCAGCATGACCTGGATGTGAGACATCAACTCAAAGGAGATCGTTTTGAAACTTTAAGGTTTAATGACTCCCCTCCTGAATTTCAGACTTGCATGGGTTTCTATAGCCCCTTTGTTTTGGCCAATTTATCCTTTTTGGAATGGGTGTATTTACACAATGGCTGTACCCCCATTGTATCTAGAAAGTAACAACTTACTTTTGATTTTACAGGCTCATAGGTGGAAGAGACCTGCCTTGTCTCAGATGAGACTTTGGACTTAGATTTTTGGGTTAATTCTGGAATCAGCTAAGACTTTGGGGGACTATTGGGAAGTCATGATTGTGTTTTCAAATGTGAAGACATGAGATTTGGGAGGGTCCAGGGACAGAATGATATGGTTTGGCTGTGTGTCCCCATCCAAATCTCATTTTGAATTGTAGTTTCCATAATCTCCAAGTTTGATGGGAGGGACCAAGTGGGAAGTAATTGAATCATGGGAGTGGTTTCCCCCATGCTATTCTCATGACAGTAAGTAAGTTCTTAGGAGATCTGATGGTTTTATAAGGGGCTCCCCCTATCACTCAGCTCCCGTTCTTCTTCCTGCTGCCATGTGAAGAAGGATCTGTTTGTTTCCTCTTCTGCCATGATTGTAGGGCCTCCCCAGCCATGGTGAACTGTAAGTCAATGAAACCTCTTTCCTTTATAAATTACACAGTCTCAGGTATGTCTTTATTAAGCAGCATGAGAACGGACTAATACATTCTTACTCTGAAGGCCTGGACATTTCTAAAATTTTTCAAAGGATGAGAATTGGCCACTATTGAGAATGTGCGTAAGACTGTGGTCCAGATCCTTATTTTAAGGAGGCTATCCTAAAAATCAAGAGCAATATAGTTTGCTTGGGGTAGAACTATTGCCTTGCAGACTGCCATTTGACTGGAGAGAAAAGAGTGCCTCTATTTGAAATAAGACTATGTTTCAGCAGGATATCTCACATTTAATATTAGCAATTAAGGGAAGGCCAAGAAATCTTCTTGCTCTGGAAAATATCTCCCCTGACCCACATTTCTGTCTCCTATGTACTCATAGCTTCTTCATCACTGTCTTCCTTGGGATCTTCAGGACTAATCTCCTCATGACCTTTATCCCAAATCAGGTCAGTCATCCCAAGAAAACCACAATCAAACCTCATTACCCAAGACTCTAATCCCCAGTGGTTCTGACTCAGTTTCTAACCCTCTGTATTAGTCCATTTGGTTTACTATAACAAAATACCTTAGACTGGGTAATTTATAAATAATAGAAATTTATTACTCACAGTTCTGGAAGCTGGGAAATCCAAGATCAAGATGCCAGCCAATTTGGTGTCTGAGGAGGGCTGTTTCTTATGGATGACACCTTCTATGTGTCTTCATACATAGTGGAGGTCCAAAAAGTGGCCAAACAGACTCCCTCAAGCCCTTTTATGAAAGCACTAACACCATTCATGAGGGTTGACTCTTATGACCTAATCACCAACTCAAGACCCCAGTGCAATACTATTGCATTGGGGATTAAGTTTCAACATGAATGTTGAAGGGACACAAACATTTCAAACACCACACCCTCCATATCTCCAAAACCTCCCTGGCTCCTGAAACTCTCCTGGGCCTCTCTAAAACTAATCATCAGAAAATCTTTTACTTCGAATTGTTTTGTGAGCCTTTCTTTTATCCTCTTACACTAACAAAAACCTGGCTTTCCTCAGATGTTTCCCCAACATTCCTCACAATCACAGGCTGTTCTATCTCCCAAAACTTTCATATTATATAGACTCTGGAAACAGAGTAGATGGCATCCACATTTCTTTTTCTACTTTCACACCATTTTTCCTTTATCCTTCACAAAACCACTAGATGTCTCCAGACTATACCACTCATTATTCCATTTCTTGGGTCACTTCCTCTCATTTCTCAAAGATTTTAGCTTCTGCATCATCTTCCCTTTCCAACACTAACCCTTTTTTACTTCTTTAATAATTTCAATATACACAGTAATGATCATCACAAAACCATGGCTTTTCAGTCTTTTGAAATCTTCTCTAATAATTTTATTCTGCTTTACTTTACATACTATCACGGTCATACCCTACATCTTGTCATTACCAACAACTGTAGCACCTTTTTAGGTGTAAGTTTATATACTGTCTAAGCACCACCACCTTATATCTCTATGGCTAATACCCTTTGTAAACTCCAACTACAGCAACGCTTCATATTCATGGGGACTTTCCATCTTTCAGTCCTATATTCTTGCTTCTCACTACTCTCAGGACTTCTTCACTACATCCTAGTTTTGACTTCGTTATTGACTCCCTGGAACAGCTCAAATCAATTACTTTATTTCTCTATGCATTAATTTTTCTCATATGTAAATTAACAAAATTGCTAAAAATAATGGTAATAATCATAAGGTCAACTTTTATTGGGTGTTTGCTATATGCTAAGCAATGTTTGAACCACTTTTTATTTATTAATTCATTCATTCCTTACAATATATTTTTAAGTAGCTGCTATTATTTCTCTTCCAGATAAGAAAAATGAGGCAGAGAGTAGGCAAATAGCTAATGTATGTAAGATGCCCTCTGATTTATGAGCTAATGGCTTATAAATATCTGGACATCCTTGGGAAAAGTGTCATTTGAATTCAGTTTTTAAAATAATGTGATTTATTGCTGTTATTTGTACTTTTCAGTAGCTACAAGGATGAAGGCAAAACTTATCTTCTCCTCTAGACTTTGACTGTTCTTCAGATAATTTTATGTAATATGATGTATGAAATTCTAGGTAGTAGGAAAGCTGTCTAAGGGAATTATGGTGTTGCTTCATTTCCACTGCCATTATCTCACGTTAGCCAAATCTGGGCTGTCGTTATTTTGTATCAGTCATTATAATTTATTCTTATCTAGTTTTTCTACCTTCAATTTTTCCTCATTTCTCTTTTCTAGTACATTTACTACATGTAACTAAAATGATGCTTGCATTAGTTACAACCAAAGAAAATTGCTGATATTTGGCTGTTTTTGACTAGTAAAAAAAGAGACAAGTTCATATGGTTAAACCTCGTATTAACGTAACATAGATAAAATGGTGTTATTCCCTGAACTACAATCATTTTTATAGCTCTCTATTGTCCTTATGAAAATGTTTAAACTCCTCAGCATTACATATAAGCACATGTTCTGTTAGTAATAGACTCTGAACTTGAGTGCTTGACCAGGGTTCTGAAAGCTCAAACGCCTGCAGGGACCAAATGAATGGTGTAAATGTTTGACATGACTTGGAGCATGACTGAGGAATGGTGCATATCGTGTGTGGTGACTGTAAGGCAGCAAGTCCTCTTTGAAGGAGCTATTCCAGTAAACTGTTTCCATGGTTCCATAGTTTTGATCTTTCAGAAATTTAGAGTTTTACCTGTAATTTAATTTTTCTCAATAATACCAGCAAACATATACATAACACATATATGGGCTATGCATTATTTCAAGCTCTTTTCAATGCGACAGCTAATTCAAAAATTTAGCAATCATTGTACAGTCAAAACATAATCTGTCTATGAATAAAATCTGGTCTGAAAGCTCCTAGTTATGGCTCCTTCCTTTAGACGCTTCTGCTAACATATGGGATGACTCCCAATCTCAGACAAATCAGTCACTCTCACACCTCCCAGTTTTTGCTCCTGTGGTGTCCTCTGCATTGAATTTTTTTCCTTCTTTCCCAACTACCTTTCCCCACCTCAACTTCAATTGACAGCTTTCTCTTAATTTTTTTAAAATCTATTTTTAAAAAATTAAACCTTCCTGATTTTCATCATAGCCTTAAACAGTTATTTCCTTCTTTCTTTCATGACACTTTTTCAGCACACAGCTCAGGGCTTACACGTCATAGGCATTCAGAAATGTTTACTGAATAAGTGGGTGACTATTCTAAATAATTATATTTAAAGCCCATTCATATATTTAAAAAACATATTTGGCCACTTATTATGCCAGACATTGCTTTAAGAGTCTAAAATCCTTTTATTAAATGTATAAGTAATACCTCATAAACTTTCTAGGTCTATAGTTTCCCAAAGCATCAGTTGTGACATTATTTCATCATTTGCTGAAACTCCTTACAATCTAAAGCCAGTTCCTTGGAAGTACAGCCTCTACTAATGCTCAATGAATATTGGATTCCACGCCATCTTGAAATGGCAGTTAGGTAGCAAGATGCAATTTCTGAAAGCTGATTCTTTCCACAAGCTCAACAAGCCTTGTTTGACAGCTTCCACTAGCTGTATGGAAAAACAGAGAGAGAGGGAGTTGCAATCAAATTGCTTATCTAATGCTACATGACAATCTAGTGACAGGGTTTATTTAAGAATACACAGACTGCTTTGTTACACACACACACACACACACACACACACACAGACACAGAAACTTAGATTATAAGAGTGACATCGGAAACATGGCAGAATAGGAATTCTCCAGCTTCACTTACTCCCTACCCCCTCCCCAGTGGCCCCCAAATCAAACAAGCAACTACCCACAAGCAAGAATACTACTATGAATAGCTTAGAATTCGGGAGTGAGACTCAGACACTCCCTTGGGCTACAGAGTAAAAACCTATGATTGAACAGCAAGAGAATGAGTTTCTTTGACCATGCCATCACTACCTCAATCCTGCAGAGCTCTACAGAGGATTCCCCTGGACCCATGGTTTCTACAGTGGGAAAAGTGAGTTGGAAGCAGATATCCATCTTCTCCACCATTCTGGGAACCTTTACAGGAGGTTTACTTCAGTCTTGTCCCACAGGAAACATTGGGAATCTGGCAGGGCCAGGCCACCTGGGTTCAGTTAGAAACAAAGAACATGGGTGGGACTCACATTGACAAAACAGAGATATTGGTGGTTCCTCTGTATTCCAGCCAACAGAGGTGCCACACCAGAGAAGCCAGCCACAGTATTATGCTGCAGGAAACATGTTCCATGGGTTTTCTAGGGTCAAATCCCTATCCATCTTCTCCACACAGCCCAGGTGCTCTTCCATAGGTCGTGAGGCAACTGTAGGTCTGTGATTTCCCATGGGTGGAACATCTGGTCTTGCCCAATGTCCAATCTTAATGACAGAAAAATAACCCAGCTAAGTTCTGGTGCTCACGTTAGTTCAGCCCAGATTGGAAAGCAATTGCAGGTCAACAGTTACTCACAGAGTGAACATCTGGCTCTGTCCAAATCTACTGAGGGAGAGGTGATCCAAGTAAGCACATATGATCTTGTTAAGTCTTCCCAAAGCCAGAAGGCAACTGCAGGTCCGTGATTACCCATGAAGGGAGCATCTGGCCCTGCTCAACCCAAGCTGCAGAGCAATGACTCCACAAAACCTTGGTGTTCTGCTTAAGCCTACCCTAGGTCAGAAGGCAAGCCCAAGTCTAAACATATCTGTGGAGAATGGCCTCTCGTCTTGGCCATCTTGTATGGCTGAACAGCAACATCAGAGACCTCATCCAGCCTTGGAACCCATCACACAGCCTTGCGCAAGTATAGATATAAAATAACAGTACCATTAAGCCAGGGAAAGCAACCCATAGCCCCGCCTGATCAAAGACCATTGCAGAGTCCAGCCAGCAGTCCCACCTGATGGTAGAGTACAGGCAGTGGTCTCAATGGACCATAGAGCAGCCAGCCATACCATTTGACTTGATTATAGGAAGTGACCCAGCCCAACTAGAGAACTTGACACCAAGGCCTGCATGTCTGGGATTGCTACCAGCTGGTCCATCCAGAATCCCAAGGTAGACTAAATTGTAAACATCTATTACCAACAAAGAACACCTGCAAAGGCCAAAAGAGGTAGCCATCCCCTCAAATGCAGGGGTATAAAAATAAAAACACAAGAATTATGAAAAATCAGGGAAATATGACATCACCAAAAGAAACTAATAAAGCTTATTAATCTGCCAAGAAGAAATGGAGATCTATAAAATTACTGACAAATAATTTACAATAAATGTCTTAAAGAACTTCAGGGAACTACAAGAAAATATGGGTAGAAAATTAAATAAAACTTGCAAAATGATTCATGAACAATAGTTTGACATAGAAATAAAAAGAATAATTATAAGAAAAGCAAACAAATATAAATCATAGATATAAATAATACAATAACCTGAAAATTCAATAGAAAGCTTCAGCTGCAAACTTAATCAAACAGAATAAAAAAATCAATGAGTTTGAAGACAGGAGATTTTAAATTATACAATCAGAGAAGCAAAAAGAAAAAGGAGTAGGCCAGGTGAAGGGGATCACGGCTGTAATCCCAGCACTTTGGGAAGCAGAAGCAGATGGATCGCTTGAACGCAGGATTTCAAGACCAGCGTGGGCAACATGAAGAAAAAGCCCATCTGAGGCTGGGCGCAGTGGCTCACGCCTGTAATCCCAGCACTTTGGGAGGCTGAGGCGGGTGGATCACGAGGTCAGGAGATCGAGACCATCCTGGCTAACATGGTGAAACCCCGTCTCTACTAAAAATACAAAAAATTAGCCAGGCGTGGTGGCGGGCGCCTGTAGTCCCAGCTACTAGGGAGGCTGAGGCAGGAGAATGGCGTGAACCTGGGAGGCAGAGCTTGCAGTGAGTGGAGATTGTGCCACTGTACTCCAGCCTGGGCGACAGAGTGAGATTCCGTCTCAAAAAGAAAAAAAGCCCATCTGAAAATAGAAAAATTAGCCATGTGTGGTGAGGCATACCTATAGTCCCAGTTACTTGGGAGGCTGAGGTGGCAGGACCACTTGAGCTTGGGACATGTAGGTTGTAGTGAGCTAAGACTAGGCCACTACACTCCAGCCTGGGCCACAGAGTGAGACTCTGTTTCAAAAAAGAAATAAAAAACACCTACAGGAATTATGGGACACCATCACAAATTAACCTTCTCGTAATAAGAATTAATGAAGGAAAAGAGAGAAGAAAAGGCCTAGAAAACATATTTTTATAAATAATAGTTGAAAATTTCCCAAATTTGGGGAAAGATGACATCAAGAAACAGGAAGCTCAGAGATCACCAATCAAATTCAACATAAAGAGGAGTTCACCAGATATATCACAAACAAATTATAAAAAATTAAAGACAATGAATACTTAAAGTAGCAAGGCAAAGGAAACATATCGCATTCAAAGCAGCCCTAATTTGGTTTTCGGGAGATTTCTCAGGAGAAACCCTACAGGCCTGGAGAGAGGGGAATCATATATTCAAAATGCTGAAAAAAATATTTTACCAAGCAACACTGCCCTTCAGAAATGAGGGAGAAATAAAACTTTCACAGACCATCTAAACCTAAGGGAGTCCGTGACCACTAGGCCTGTTTTACAGGAATAGCTAAGGGTAGTTCTTCAAGCTGAAATGAAAGGCTGCTAATTAATAACAAAAACATATAAAAGTAAACAAGTCAATAGTGTAAGTAATACATAGTAACACTCAGAATTCTCTAATACTCAAGAGTTGCGTATAAAGAAATTTTATCCCTATTAGGAAAAATAAGAGACAAAATTTTTAAAAACAGCTATAGTTACAACACATTTTAAGAGATACAAATCACAAAAAAGTAAAATTTGACATCAAAATCACATAAGATTGGGGGGGAGGGAGTGAACATGTAGAACTTTAGGTGATTAAAGTGAAGTTGTTGTCAGCTTATGGTAGCCTGTTTTGAGGATATATAAGCCTCATTTTTACCACAGAGAAAAAAACCTATAGTAGTTGCACAAAATATAAAAAGGATTCAAAGCAAACCACCACAGGAAACCATCAAACCACAAAGAAAGAGAGCAAGAGAGGATGAAAGAAACAAAAGACGCAGAAAACAGTCAGAAAACAAAATACAAAATGATGGTAGCAGGTCCTTACATATCAATAATTACTGTGAATGTAAATTGATTAAATTTTCTAACAAAAAGATGTAGAGTGGCTGAATGGATTAAAAGCAATATCTAATCATATGCAATTTACAAGAGATTCACTTTACTAATAAAGATACATATAAGAATGAACATGAAGAAATGGAAAAAGATGTTCCACATAATTGGAAACTGAAAGAGAAGAGAGGTAACTATATTTACACCACACAAAATAGACTGTCAAAAACTATAAAAAGAGAAAAAGAAGGTCCTTATATAATGATAAAGGGGTTAATTCACCAAGAAGACATAATAATTGTAAATATATGTGTACCCAATAGTGGAGCACCTAAATATATACAACAAATAAAATCAACATGTTGAGATACATGCATTCCCATGTTCATTGCAAGATTGTTCACAATGGCCAAGATATGAGAAGGACATAAATGTTCATCAGTGTATAAATTGATAAAGAAAATGTGACATAGTCACATTTTTAACTTACCAACAGAGATACATTCTGAGAAATGTGGTGTTAGGTAATTTCATTGTTATGCAAACATCATAGAGTGTATTTATACCTAGAAAGTATAGCCTACTACACACCTAGGATGTGTAGTATAGTCTATACCTCCTTGGCTACAAACCTTTAGAGCATGTTACTATACTGAATACTTTAGGCAATTGTAACAAAATGGTAAGTATTTGTGTATCTAATTACATCTCACTATAGAAAAGTTACAGCACAAAAAAAACTAATACACAAACTAATCTTATGGGACCACAATCTTATATGTGGTCTGTCCTGATCAAAACATCATTATGCAGTACATGACTATATTTACAAAATGGAATATTATTAAGCCTTAAAAAAAGAAGTCTTGTCATTTGCAACAAGATGGATGAAGCTGGAGGACACTATGTGCTAAGTGAAATAAGCTAGGCACAGAAAAACAAATACTACATGATCTCACTTATATGTGGAATCAAATAAAGTTTAATTTATGAAGTAGAGAGTAGAACAATGGTTGCCAGAGGCTGAGAGTGTAGGGAAGGAGAGAATGAGAAGTTGTTATTAATCAAAGCCTACAAAGTTTTGAAGAAACAAGAGAAATAGGTTTTGAGATCTAATGCACAGCAAGATGACTATAGTCAATAATAATGTATTACATATTTCAAATAAGAGTGAATTTAAAATGTCTCACTATAAGAATGACAGGCAAATTAGGTGATAAATATGTTAACTAATTTGATTAAATCATTCTACACTGTACATGTATATCAAAGCAATACATTGTACCCCATAAATATATACCGTTAATATTTGTCAATCAAAAATAATATTAATAATAGTTAAAAATAAAGATAATGAACACTAGGAAAGAAATATGAGGCAAAGAGAAAATAATGTTAGAGGCATCACAGGAACTAGGAATGAGGCTATTAAAACACACACACACACACGTTGAAACACCCTTTAAAGTTGGGTAAATTATTGTCTAAAATCACATTTCCAAGTTGTCAGATTGCTACACCTCAAATGGGAACAAAGACACTACTGCTATGTATTAGTTTATATTGCTGAGTAACAAATCATCTCAGATTTAGCAGCTAAAAAACACATATTTATTATCTTAGAGTTTCCATAGGTCAGGAGCCTGAACACAGCTCAGTTGGTGCTCAGGATCTTACACAGCTATAATAAAGGTGCTGGCAAGGCTGCATTCTTGTCTGGAGGCCAAACGGGTAGAATTCATCTCCAAGCTAGTTCAGGTTGTTGTCAGAATTAATTTTCTTGCAGCCGTATGACTGAGGGCCCCAGAATTTTGCTGGCTATTGGCTGGTAGTTGCCATTAGGTCCTAGAGGTCATCTACAGTTATTTGACACATGGCTGGTTACTTCATGAAGGCTATGAGGGGAGTTTCTCTTCCTAGAAAAAGCCCAGTCTTCCTTTTAATGGATTAGGTCTGATTAACACAGTGTCATCCAGAGTAATTTTCCCTTTGATTAAATGAAAATCAACTGATTTGGGACTTAATTACATCCACAAGACCCCATCACCTTTGTCATATTCTACTGGCTAGAGACATGTCACAGGTTGTTATGGGCTGAGTTCTGTCCTTCCCAAAATTCATGTTGAAGCTCTAACACACAGTACCTCAGAATGTGACTAAATTTGGAGATAGTGCCTTTAGAGAGGTAAGTAAGTTTAAATGAGTTTATTATGGTGGGCTCTAATCCAATATGACTGGTCTCCTTATAAGAAGAGGAGATGAGGCACAGCCATATATAGAAGAAAAACCCTGTGAAGACACAAGAAGATGGGTATTAATAACCGAAGAAGAGAGGTCTCAGAAGAAATTAACCTTGCCAACACTTTGATCTCAGATCTCAAGCCTTCAGGACTGAGAAAATTAATTTTTTTGTTTAAATTATCCATTCTATGGTACTTTGGTACTGCAGCCTGGCAAACTAATATGCAGGTGTATTAGTCTGTTCTTACCTTGTTCATAAAGACATACCTGGGACTGGGTAATTTATAAAGGAAAGAGGTTTAATTGACTCACAATTCCACATGGCTGGGGAGACCTCAAAATCATGGAAGAAAGTGAAGGGGTAGCAAGACATGTCTTATGTGGCACCAGGAAAGACAGAGCTTGTGCAGGAGAACTCCCATTTATAAAACAATCAGACATCATGAGATTCATTCACTACCACGAGAACAGTATGGGGGAAACCACCCCCATGATTCAATTATCACCACCTGGCCCCACCCTTGACATGTGGGGGTTATTACAATTAAAGGTGAGATTTGGGTGGGGACACAGCTAAACTATATCAGCAGGTCCAGCCCAAACACAAGGCCTGAAGGGTTCTATAGGGCATGAACACCAGGGGGCAGGAATCATGTGAGCCGCCTGGGACCTGCTATCTATGAGGTAGAACCCCAAACAGCTTTATCTGGAGAAGAAGGATGTAGACATTCTCAATATTTGTCAATTTTAGGGTTTCCTTGATTTACTTGTCTACCGCTTAAAAGCCAATGAAATATGAGCAAAAGTATGCAGTATCACTTCCAGGATGAGCCATGTAATGATAGTGCTTAATTCTCTAGCTCTTCTTTCCCTTACCATGGAGTCCCTCAAACTTCTTTCTGCAGTGGTAGCATCCTAAAGTGGTGAACTCCATCAGCCTTGGGCCCTGAACAGTTATCATGAGCAAAGTCTTCCTTACCAAATCAAGCTAAATATGTGCCATGAGCAATAAATTAGCTTATGTTATTTTAAGTGACTGAGATTTTGGAGTTGTTTATTACAACATTATAATCTAGCTTAACCTGATAAATGAATGAGATAAAGTCATATACCATTAATAAACTTGAGCAATTATAATGACTAAACAGTGAAAACAAAGTACTTTTTTATATTTCTACAAAATTGTGAAGGGAAGTGGCTGCTTCTGTAACATCCAATAAATTGCTATCAGAAGTTTGTATAACAACTGAGATTGGTGAAATAATAATCTGGAGTTCAGATGAGAATAAGACATACCCCCAAAATACTTCCTCTGATAAACAGTTTATATAAACAAACAAATCCTCTGAGTCATCAGTTCCTATGATAGCATTGCATTTAACACTCTAATATTGTGGAAGAATAGAACTAGATACTACAGTCTTAGAAAATTCACTAGAGCTTTGAAATGAATGATCCTCAAGGTGAATTAAAATTCTGTACCATATTGCTTCAAGCCTTGATTTTTATTTCACTTTTTTGTTTCACTCTCAAGTGTCTTGAATCTTTCTTTTTTCATTTTTCTACAGTGGTTTTTGTCTAAATAGAATACTGAGAAAATAAATATTTAATTGTTTTTTCCTGGTTTGAGATCAAGAAAAATGAAGTTGAGGAGGACTTACAAGGGTGTGCCTTTTGTATAACTGTAAAAAGGAGTTGCAGTGAGGCACAGGTGAAGCAATGAGAAAGAAATGAAGGAGTGAGATGGAAAAAGCCTTTGCAATGAGATTAATTTTTAATTCCTAACTACCATCCATGAATGAAAGCAGACAGACCCGTTCTATGGAGTCATCTTTGCCTTTCTGTGCAGTGCAGTCTTCAGATAAATGTGTTCAGGTGGCAATACTTTAGCTTAAATAAAAGGGAGGGTGTCTATCTTGTCTAATGGAAGGGAAGTCTTGCAATTTATCCCATTTTGGCAAATGACATAATAATGTGTCAAATTCTGTAGCCTATCCCCTTTGTGAGAAGCAGTTCACGTTCTCATTCCAGTCCATCATACCCACTGAAGAGTCCCCTGGAAATGTTAATGCCACCTGGAAAAGATCAATCTATTTTGGTTAGGAGGCTATGAGAAAGAAGAGAGATATGGGGAAGCATGGAGAAGAAAGAATATAGATTAGACAGCCTGTTTCCTCTGCTAATACTTCTCTTCTCTCTATATATATATAATATAAATATATATATACAAACACATTTCATGTGTGTATATATATACATATACACATTTTGTACGTGTCTGTGTACATATATATAATCAATTAGCAGAGAATCAAGCCAGTAAGTATTCTTGTTACTATGGAGACCAAAGTGGAGCCTGGGGAAAATAAAAATTTTGATTTTTGAATGTTTACATTTTGCAACCATTCTTGAATTTTTAAAAATTTCTTAAATACTTTAATTAGAAGCATTTAACACCTACTGTGAAATGGGTTTGATTAAGTCTAGACAAGCGCAGAATTTTTAATGTGTCTCTTTGTTACCCCACAGATGTACAGATGTGTCTACCATTTTGAAAAGAAGTTCTGAAAGTACATATTCCACTTCCTGAACACTGAAAAGAAGTACAGTATTTTACTCCATTTGAGCATATTTATATTCTTAAAGTTTGAGTAAACAAATGAGAAGTGAAACCAAGGAGAAAGCTAAGGGGAAAAACGGCAATAAATTACTTCTGTGTGTGATAACTCTGCATATTTGAAGGTTTGTATGTGTACATGTGGACTACTTTACCCTTAGTAGAAGAGAAACATACAATGGAAATTGTCATTTTACATCTTAAAAATAACCTGGAAATTGAAAACAAGTTTTTAAATTGCTTGCTTAAATGTAGGATGATTAATTTTAGCTTCAGTAATTTTCAAGCATTCTTTTAGATAAACTGCTTTTTAAACTTTGAACTATAAACCATTATCTTTAGGAAGTCAGATGAAGCACAATTCATGAATGATATTCAGGATTGATGGATGATTCAGGATTCAGCAATTCAGGATGATATTCAGAATATTCAGGAAAATATTCAGGATTACTGTCATATGCATGAAAAGGAATAATAGGATTCTGGTAGTATTAATACCAAGGTTTGTAAGAATGTTCAAACATGGCTGTCAATGTCAATGTCAAGGACAGAATCCTTCTGTTTTCCCAACTCCTATTTGCAATTCATTTCAATTAGTCCTTTTGATTTTTAACATTTAATTTTGTTCACATGTATCTGCATTTTTCACCTCTATTCCTGTCCTTTTCTATCATCTCATCCCTACCCCACTGCACTTGCCCCCAAACAGTCTCCATGCCTTTATCATTACCCACCTATAATCCATTTCTCATATTTTGATAGGGTACTACTTACAAGACATAAATTCAATTGGATCAGTTGATCAGTTTCACACTTAGAATACTTCAAGGGGTCATCCTTAGCACAAAGAGCAATATGCATAATAAGGCTTAAGAGTTCCTGCAGGATCTGGTTCCTGCTCCTCCTCCCCAACCCTTCTGTCTTGCTTTCTTCTTGTACCTCTGTAGGTTCTCCATCTTACAGCCTCTTGGGCTGATTTTCTCTTCAAATGATATATCATATTTCTTCCTGTCTTGAGGACTTTGCACTTGCTGTTCCATGTGTGTGAAGTGTTCTTCTTCTATTTTCCTGCATACCTGCCATACATCCTTCAAGTCTCATCCCAAATGTCAATTCTACAGAGTCCATGAAACCACTTCATAGACCCCAGAAAAGACCTATTGTACACTTGCATGACACTTTATACTTTTTCTTTATAGTACCTTTATATTGTAATTATAAATTGTGCTATTATGAATGTTCACAGTCACAAAGTACAAATGTGTACAAAGACATAATTTCCTTCACTTCTGTCCAACAGGATTTAGCTCCTGGGATTCCATTTGTGGTGCAATTAAAGCTTGCTACAATCTTCTTACAACTTTTTTAGTCCCTTTCACAAAAGTACTATTCTTTCAACTTAAGGGCCTTCTCTCCCCCATCTCTTCCCTTTTCCCGGGAGGAAATGAGTTCTTGGATCTGAGAGGTAAAGGGATACCTTATTCACAATGGTTCTCTCTAACCTGTGCTGAGATCAATTTGTTCCTACTTATGCTGGAATTCATTGCTGCTACTCCTGATCCTGCAATAATCTCTTATTGGGACATCCATGCTGTCTGTGCTTTTTCAGTCCTACCCTGGAGACCTACCGGACTGATTTTAGGACTTGATTTTCTTTTGGTTGGCAAGGGCTGGGAGTGAGGAAGATTGCTTTCAAACTTAGTTGATTTTCTATTTCTGCTACGGTCAATGTTGGTGCCCCCACAAAATATATCAAAATCCTAACCATTAAGGTGATGGTATTAGGAAGTAAGGCCTTTGGGAGGTGATTATGTCATGGGGTGGAGCCCATATGAATGAGATTTGTTCCCTTATTAAAGAAGAGAAATCCCCTCTCAATCCTTCCAACATTCGAGGACACAGTGATAAAGTACCATCTATGAACTAGGAAGTGGGTCCATTCCAGACATTGAATCTGTCTTGATCTTGGAATTTACAGCCTCCAGAATAGTGAGAAATACACTTCCATTGTTTATAAGCTATCCAGTCTGTGGTATATCATTAAAGCAACCAGAATGGACTAAGACAATATCCCACTAGAGTCTGCTGCACTCTGTGAGGCTGCCTGCAGGCCCATTATCCTAGACATCTTACTCAGCCACAGGATTGTGGTGCCATGTAGAATCTGGCTTTCCTGTAAGTCTTGCCTTCTTCCCAGGATGCAACAAAGGCAGGGAGATCATGCTCTAGCCTAATTTTCTGTGGTTTTGCCTCAGAGGAAGCAGAGTCATGGGGCCCTTTCTGTGCAATCCATAATAACCACAGGGTTACTCTTTTGCTCTCTCCTTCAGTTCTGAAGCTCCTATTTCCAGGCAAAAAAAGTGGAAATATTTCTTATTAAATGCTTTTCGTCTGAGATGAGAAAAGATCGGGTGCATATAGGGTGGTATGGCCATCAACTTCATTGAATGCCATTCTAATAGAAAGTTATGGATAAACTTTGTGCCCATCTCCTTAATATATTGCCTACTCTTGATATTCAGAGTAAAGCTTTCATTTTAAGCCTCTTCTCATTGGCTTTCAAGGCAATTATTCCTGTAATTAGCTTTTAAAAAAGCCATTCAGACACTCAGCTTACTATTTTTTTTCAAGCTGATTAATCCTCTCCTGGGACAAAAAGGATAATTTTGAGAAAAAAAAATCAACTTGGTTGTTTATCAAAATATTATCTTTCCACATATGGTTGATTTTTGAGTCTTCTATAGAATTTCAAGCTCTCCAAGATCAATAGTCAGGTTTTTGTTATACTATTGTATCTCCTAGTTCACATTAGTGTATTTTATTAATAAGCATTTTTGAAGAAATGAATATACAAATAAGTGTCAACCAAGAAGAGGTGAAAGAACAGACTGCAAATGAGTAAGACAATTGGGGTGTTAGGAATTGCAATTTGGGAGACACAGATCTGTCTGGAAGCCAAATTGTGTTCTGAAGAGAGGGAGTGGGGCAGGGATTTTTAAAAGGAAGCAGAGGGTGATTACATAAGTTATTTTGAAATAATTATTATTGACAAAGGCAACTGGCTTAAACACAAGTCCATAGTTCATTGGTTTTTGCTATTCAAGACTTGCAGCACTGGTGAAATTCAGCTATTTTTCAGGATGTTGGGGTTGTGGCAGTTTGGTTCAGTCAAATGGTTCAACCAAGTTACTGTTTTTTGGTTTTTTTTTTCAAGGTTGCAGGTTGTGCAGGCAGTCTTTCTTAGAATGACTACACCCAAATCCATTTTAGAAGTCTGAACCAGAATGACACCATTCTGTATATCATATTTCATACAGAAATCACAGCAAAGGGAAACAAATTCATAGTTCACTGTTGGTAGGTTGAATCCAATCTTCCAAGTAGAAATATTGTAAACTCTATTAGAGTGGGTTGTTTGACTTGGGGGCAACCTATTTCTACCACCTATCCTAATATTAGAATCTTACGTAACCTTAGGCTTGTTTTCAGGGGAAAAGGCCATGGTCTTCTTTAGTCTTTATCTGCATAGAAAGAAGAAAGAGATAAGAACATGTATGTCAACAGGGAAAAACTTATAAGATACAGAAAGGGTACAGGAGACAGACAACATCAGAGGCATGGCTGAGCTTCCTTGCAAATAAAAAAAAGGTCATGGGTCATTTTGTTGCAATGACTGTGTGGATAAAAGTCGAAAAGAACAGAACCACATTTATTTATTTATTTATTTATTTATTTATTTATTTATTTATTTATTTATTTATTTTTGAGACAGAGTTTTGCTCTATTGCGGCTGGAGGGCAATGGAGCGATCTCGGCTCACTGCAGCCTCCACCTCTCGAGTTCAAGCAATTCTGCCTTAGCCTCCCGAGTAGCTGGGATTACAGTCATGTGCTACCACACCTGGCTAATTTTTGTATTTTCAGTAGAGACAGGGTTTCTTCATGTTGATCAGGCTGGTCTGGAACTCCTGACCTCAGGTGATCTGCCCACCTCAGCCTCCCAAAGTGCTGGGATTACAGGCATGAGCCACCACGCCCGGCCTATTTATTTCATTTTTAATGCACGATAACCTATAGTTTGTAAATGCCTCTCAGCTGGTGACCTGAAACATGATAAATATTCCTTTTCGGGGGGTAAAAAAGAGAGGTTGAAGAGAGAGCTTTCTTCTTTCTGCCTACAATTTTTTTTTCATTAGAGCTTTATAGGGAATATTAAGCCTAAACTGGCCAAAAAAGCAACTAATCTTTTTACCATGTGTGACAGCAAGCAAATGCTGGGGCATGGCCAGCTTACAGAAGCATACAGTTTTGGGACTTAGAATCAATATGTAAAATAAAGTTCCATCTTTGTTTTTTCACTTACTTTTTGTTACTGGTTTTTATAGTAAGAGGAATTTTTAGTGAAAAGTTTCCATTTTAGAGGTCAAGTCCCTCTTTGCTTTATTTTGACCACATTTCAGATTTCCCAAAGAAAACACAACAGAGAAAAATAAAACTAAATGCCTCACAGTGCAGCACAGTTTAAAAAGAGGTTTGGGAAAATAACCAAAGAAACATTCGGGGGGGGTTTCTTAAGACCATCAAGAAATGTTAAAGGCTTAAAATTCAACTTAGATGATAATATTAGAGCTATAAACAATTGTTGAAATAATTTTGTCCATTATGCATAGTAATCACTTCATGTAGTGATTTGCTTGAGGTCAAACTGTAATTCAGTGACATATTCTAGGGCAGAGGTGGTTTTCTTTTTTTTTTTTTTTTTTTTTTCTTGATTCCTCAATAAGCCAGCCAGACTCTCTAGTCAAGTAAAGTAAACATGGAAATGGAAGGGGGAAGAAATCTGGAGCCATGTTATTTGACAGACGTGGCCTAAAGAAAATCCATAAATTTTGGTTAAAATGCCTAAATGAGCCTTGACTGGCCCTTGTCCTTCTAGAGGACTTCTTCATTCCCAAGTAGAATCCATGCAATCTGTCCAATATCCTTCCAAAAAATTTCTTTTTGGTTAAGTTAACCAAAGCCTGTTTCCATTGTTTACAAAGAAAAATGATACATATCTTTTTGGCATATTCTTGTACTGCAGGGTTTCTGCAGGGTTTCTCAAAGTTCTTTTGTATGCTAGTGTAAATATTCAAAGGGAGTTATACATGTGGCAATTCCTATATTTATTTGACCTTTTCTTGTAAAACCTAATTTGAGGTTTTTTTCCAGAACACACTCTGGAAAGCACTGCATTATAACATTGCTGTCCCCTGAGGCACTGCCTCAACCCTAGAACTGATTCTCAACCTACTTTGAGAGCTTTAAGAGCCTCTCTTATTTACCAAATAAGGGTGCTGCAATTTTATATTATGAGGGTAGTGTAAGCTCTGTGCTGTAATGTTGCAACATTCAGTTAGGACATTGATAACAATTTTACATGAGGCATTCTAGTTGAACTTTCTGGGTAGGGTTCCAGACTTTCTCTGATTTAGTTTTTGTTGTATTATGGATTCATATACATTCTGGACAATGTTCCGTGCTTCAGTTTCCCTTGAGATGAAACAGAAAAGAATGATACTAACCTGATATCTCCCTCAGCACTGGCAGGTTGAATTAGGTAATGCCTGCAATGTGGCTTGAATTCTTCAGAGAGAAGAATTTTAAAACACCAACAATGAATGTTATAGAAATGACTGAAAAGCACTTCTCATATATTTTAATCCAATGTTTAGTATTTGCATAACCAGTCTATTAAATCCTTTTGAGTAGGATATGGGAATGACAAAAGTCATAGAAACTGCTTCGTGACTGTCTTTTCCAAAAGAAAAGAGAAAAATACAAGTCAGAATTCCAGTTCACACTGAGTTCTGCACATGCTTGAGAAAGTCTGGCCTCGTAGTAGGGCTATTGCTGCCCCACTAACCCTGATAGTGGTGATATAGATTGCTCTACAATTAACATGAGTGGTGGGTGCATGTAATCAGGCAGTGTTATGGGCCATCTTTATAGCATGTCCTATCTCTACTGCATGCCTGATTAGGAAATACATACATTGTCTATTGTCTTTGGCCCAGTACTCTGTCCCCCGATTTTGCAAGTTATTTCAACTTAAGGTAAGGTAGTTGGGGAAAAGTTTGAGTACTAGTCAATGAAGCATTCTACTCATTTATTTCTAGAAAACCTCTAATACCCTTCCCATTGGACAAATATGGTATTGAATATTTAAAAGACTAACATAACTTCAAATTCATGGCCTCTTTTGTTGGTCTTCACAAAGAGGGTTTTTACAAATGGCAAAAAGCTGTTCGTGGAAGTAAGTCTGCTGCCTTTTCTTGCACCTTGCATGCCCAGCACAAAGCCCACAAGTGAGAACTTCATGACCTCTGAACTTAACAAAACAGAAACAATAAGTGAGTAGCTGTCTGCAACAGGAAGTGGACATTTACAGTGACATCATGGAGCTTTGATGGAGGGGGTGGAAGTTGCTCACAAAGGTGAGAGATAAACTCCTGAATTCTCTTTCTCAGTGGGAATCTTGGCTACACTTGAAAATGAAGACACAGCAAAAGCAAGTAATTTTGTCATCTGTTAGATAAAGATTACACACCTACTTTAACTTTTGCTTTTCTGCTTGGTGATTCCTGGGCTAAAGTCACATAGTTAATCAGAAACACTCCTGAGGAGAAAATAATGGTTTCAATTCAACCAGAATGTGATAATTGGTGATATTTAGATGGAACTTGCTTTTATTTTTCTTACAGAACTGCATTTCCCAATATACTTTTTTTCTGAGGTGAGGTGGTGTTTTATGAAGTTTGTTCATTCATTTAGTATATTAAGTACTTATTGGGCACTACTGCATGCCATGATGTTCTAGCTCCTGGTGATATAATGGTGACTAGCACACATTCCGTAAGCTAAGGTGTTTTATATACTAGTTGTAAAGATAGACAGTAAATAGGTAACTTTAGAACAGCGTGATATGTATTTGATAAAGAATCTGAATGGGTAGGAGGAACACATAAATGATCTTAAAGCTGGCCAGCACGGTGGCTCACACCTGTAATCCCCGGCCTTTGGGAGTCCGAGGTGGGCAGATCATGAGGTCAGGAGATCGAGACCATCCCGGCTAACATGGTGAAACCCCATCTCTACTAAAAATACAAAAAAAAAAAAATTAGCCAGGCGTGGTGGCGGGTGCCTGTAGTCCCAGCTACTCAGGAGGCTGAGGCAGGAGAATTGGCGTGAACCCAGGAGGCGAAGCTTTCAGTGAGCTGAGATTGCACCACTGCACTCCAGCCTGGGCGACAGAGCGAGACTCCATCTCAAAAGAAAAAAAAAAAATCTTAAAGGATATTAGGTGATGCACATTGCAGAGGAAATGATAGCTGAGCTGAGAACTGAAAGTTAAATAAAAATTAGGTGAAGAAATGAAGATAAAGGAGATAAATTTCTCTCTTACAGCCTTAGAAGTACAACCTTTTTAAACAGTAATACTAGTCAATGGTTTTGATTACTTAATAAATGCTTCGTGATTTACGTATTTGTCACTTCTTGTAACAATTCTATGAAAAAAAATGAGTGTAGCAGGTCATGTCGCACTAATGCAGGCCTCTGTAACAACTGTTTTAGCACTGACTGAGTGGTAAAGTTAAATATTAAAAGCTGATAGACCCAGTGCCCTTACAAAGTCTGGAACGTAACAAATGTCCACCAAAAGTTTTGCCCAGGCCTTTCCTGGGTCTTGAAATGGGTCTATGACAAGATAATGAAGGAATTCTTAACAAGACCCACTTAGGATTAAACAAGTTTTATTGGGGGCCTGAAGAAACTCCCCAGACCTCCACAAACAAGTTTATTGGCGGGGGAGGGGGGAGGTCTAAAGGTCTAAGGAAATGCCCAAACCTCCATGATTTAGCAGGAGACAAAACAAGGGTAATCACTCCAGCACCTGGACACATTTGGATTAAGTAGATTTACTGAGGCTCCAGAGGAAGGTCTTCAGGACTCAGATCTTAGTTACAGATTAGAAGAAGTTAATCACTTATGTCTTTAGATGAATGCATGCTTGCACGTAGGCATATAGCTTAGAAGGTATATAAGCTCTGGAAAACTTTGTAATTTTGAGTTGATCTGGCAATATTTTCCAGGCCTACTCCCTGTACCTGGTTGCAGAAATAAAATCTCTTCTTTCCCAGTTCATCTGCATCTCATTATTGGGCCACAAGAATAAGCAGCCTGACCCTCAGTTTGGTCTTACATGAGGGGACTTCAAAAACGTTTATGGAAAATATGTACTATAAAAAACTATTCATGAATCCCAAACAATTTCCTCACAAAAATAAACTTGTGCTAGCTCATTATAACATGTTTAAACAGAATTCAGTTTGAGGCACAAAGAAGAATAAGACATCAGTTTCAAAAGAGACCCCATCAGAGCAACATAAATTCTGCTAAAATTGAAGGAAGAACAAACATCAAATTTATCATGAAGCTTGGATGAAAAATAATAAAATGATTAAATGCTTTACACAAAGTTTATGGCGACAGTGACCCAAATAAATGAACAATTTGTAGATGGATAACTCATTTTAAAGAAGGGACAAGACTACGTGGAAGATGAATCCCTCAGCAGTAGATCCTCCTCATCAATTTGTGAGGAAAAACTTCATCTTGTTTCTATCCTAATTGGAGAGTACCGATGATAAATAGAAGAAACAATAGCCAACACCACAGACATCTCACTCACTAAGTTCAGCTTACACAATTATGACTGAAAAATTAAAGTTCAACTCAATGTTTCCATTCAATGGGAGCCAAAACCATTGCATCCAGATCAGCCACAGACAAGAATGGAGATTTTAATGTAAATTTTAAACATGTGGATCAAAATCTTGAACTACTTCTTTGAAGAATTGTAACAGAAGATGAAACATGGCTTTACCAGTACAACACTGGAGACAAGTCACAGTCAAAACAATGGCTACCAAGTGGAGAAAGAGGCCCAGTCAAAGCAAAGGCAAACTGGTCAAAAGCAAAGGTCATGGTAAGAGTTTTTTGGGATGTTCAAGGTATTTTGCTTTTTGATTGTCCAAAGGGCCAAAAAACTATAAATCTGCTTATTATGAGAGGGCTGTGAGAAAGTTATCCAAAGCTTTAGCAGAAAAACACCTAGGAAACCTTCACCAGAGAGTTCTTCTTCACCACAGCAATGTTCCTCTTCGTTCCTTTCATCAGAAAAGGGCAATTTTGAGTTTTGATGGGAAATTATTATGCATCCACCTTCCAGTCCTGCTTTGATTCCTTCTGCCTTCTTTTTGTTTTTCAATCTTAAAACATCCGTAAAGGACACCCATTTTTTTCAGTTAGTAATGTAAAAAAGATTGCATTGATATGGTTAAATTCCCAAGACTTTCAGTTCTTTAGAGACAAACTAAATGGCTGGTAGCATCACTTATAAAAGTCTCTTGAACTTGATAGAGCTTATGTCGAGAAATAAAGTTTATATTTTTATTTATCTTTTAATTCTATTTTTCCACAAACTTTTTGAAGATCTCTTATGCTATTATTGTTCCTATTTTAAGGGTGAAGTAGAGTCTTATGGAGATTGAGCTGTTTGCTCAAGGTCAGACAGTATGTAAGTAGACAAATCTAGATTTAAACACGAGTTGGTCTGAACAAGGAAACGGAGTTTTCCCAGCATGATATATACTGGCTCTTAGATCTCTGTAACTGGCTACATTTAGCTAGATGTGGGTGGAATGTTGATCTAAGGCCGCTAATTTATCAACTAGGTAGGATCCAATTAGTCTATTAATCTTATGAATTTCATCAAAGAAAGACATAGACAATGTGGTGGGCTAATGGTTGGCACTGGAACTTAAGGCTATGATATACAGACCAGGATGGCCAAAACGGGACATGTATACAATGCATAAATGGAGGAATTTATTTAACAAAGAGTAAAGAATAGGATTTGTGAAGAATCTTCTGAGATATGGAGAGAGGAGACTTGAAATGCTTATACATCATTGATGGGCGTGTAAATTACTTCAATCATTGTAGAAAGCAATGTGGGGATTCCTCAAAGAGCTAAAAACAGAGCTACCATTTGATCCAGCAATCCCAGCAATGTACCCTCTGGGTACATACCCAGAGGAATATAAATCATTCTACCATAAAGACACATGCATGTGTATGTTCATTGCAGCACTACTCACAATAGTAAAGACATGGAATCAACCCAAATGCCCATCAATGACAGATTGGATAAAGAAAATGTAGTAACTATACACCATGGAATACTATGCAACCATAAAAAGAATGAGATCATGTCTTTTGTGAGAACATAGATAGAGCTGGAGGTCATTATCCTTGGCAAACTAACACAGGAACAGAAAACCAAATATCATGTGTTCTCACTTATAAGTGGGAGCTAAATGATGACAACACATGGGCACAAAGAGGGAAATACCAGACACTAGGGCCTACATGAGGGTGGAGGGTAGGAGGAGGCAGAGGAGCGCAAAAAAAAAAAAAATAACTATTTTGTACTAGGTTTAGTACCTGTGTGATGAAATAATCTGTACAATAAACACCTGTGACATAAGTTTACCTATGTAACAAACCTGCACATGTACCCCTGACCCTAGAATAAAAGTTCAAAAAAAGGATTCAATAAAATAATGTGAGACTGTTTGTTACAATGCCCCAAGTGTTGCATTTTCTTGACTCCCCCTTTGGTTGGTCCTTCCTTCTTGCTGCTTCTTTTTTCCCCCTCCTTCTCAGGTATTTTTTCCCCTTCCTTCTAAATGTGTTTTTTATAACACTTATATTTCAGAAATCATTTTTGAAGAGAAATAAGAGGCACATTCCAGAGTTTAATAGTGAGAGCCACAGGAGGAACAGGGGGGCAGGAGTTCCTTTCCAATGTCATCCTTTCTCCATAGCAAACCAGGGGAACGGAAGAGATAAGCTAATATGTCATTATCATCTCTAATTTTCCTGATCATTTCTCCTGGAACTGACACAAGGGCCAGATGTGGTTCAGAGAAAAAGTGTACATTTGGCTCTGGAGGAAGGCTTCAGAACTTTTAATAATCCCTTAAAATGCCTGATTCACCTTAGAAAGATTCCCAGGGAACTCCAAAAGACCTTTACCATAAAGAGTAGAGGTAAAGGTTTTGGAAGAGGGTAGATGAGCTAGGAGGCAATAGGAAAGAGAAAGTATAAGTGAAGTGTCAGAATGGTTCAAATAAAAGGTATCAATGTCTAATCAGAACAGAGGACTGCCTGATATAATTCCCAGGTTGTCAAGTTGGCTGTGAAAGACTATGAGAGGATAATGAGGATGGCTGACACTTTTAGGAAGACATGGTTGAAATCTTTGTCTATTTAGAGCAGGGCTGAATCTAGTGTCAACCTGTTAAGGGAGCAAATTTCTTAAGCAATGCTATTGCATTATATGGCTACAAGGGGCATCATTTGCTTTATAATCTACGTGAACATCACCTTGGGGGTGTGAAGCAGTGCAGTGCAAAGCCTGACATAAGCGTCTTCAGTCTATTGCCTCATTTATAGTTGAAAGAGCTGGAAGGCTCAAAGAGCTGGGAGGCTCAAAGAGCTGGGAGGTCAAGTCCCTGCCTAGGGTCCTATAGGCAGTAACAGAGCTGAACCATAAGTCAAGTTACTCTACTTTCAGTTCAGTGATTTTTCAACTAAACTTGTGACTCTCAACCTGTGGGTTGCAAATCTCTAGGGAATGTGGAATTATTACAAGGAGTTGTGTGTATGTGTATTTCCCAATCAATGTATACTAAAAGTATAATTACTATGCACTAGGTTTTATTTAAAATTATTTGCATTAGAGGAGCTCTTCATACAAGATTATGTTGCCAAAATCACTTTGTCTGCTAATCATACTGCTATTGTCTGTGCTGTTCACATTTTTTACAAAAAAGAGAACATAAACAATACCTTTGAAAGATGAGAGCTTGAGATGTTCTTGCCAGACACAGCCTGTATTATGATGTTATCCAACTAGGGTCTTTTACTTTATCTTGAAAATACTTCACAGTAAGAAAGCATATGTGGAAAAAGGTTCAGATTCAAATCTAACTCAGCCACTAACTGCATGACCTTGGGTGAGCTATTTATCCTCTCTCATTTACTTAATAGGCAATTATTGAGTGCTTACTAGGTTGCAGAAATTTTCCTGGTGTAGAGAACCAGATGAAAGAACAAGTCATAACCTTAAGACAGAGAAGAAAACAGATGAGAAAACTTATTACCATACAGGGCAATAAGTTCTGTGATCATTTTATTACTTGTTCACAACGGAATCCTAGAGGAGTGTAATCTGCCCCAGATGTGGGGAGGGATGACAGTTTTAGGGTATTCTTCCCAGGGTTTTTGAAGCTGAACTGTGGAGCAAAGTTAGTCACCAATAAGTGAAAAAGCAGGAAAAGGAACACATTCTGGACAGAGAAGGTGCCATTTACACGCAGAGGAGGATGAAACGCTACATACTGTATGGCTCAATTTTCCTACTCTCAATCTTTGGAACCTAGATTTGCTAAGAAAAAGCAAAATGGAAATCTATGAGTTATCTTCCATATTTGAAGAAGCTTAAATACAATCACAAAATTTTCCATCTAAGTGTTAAGGCTAACTAAAATGTCAAGTTCCTTAGCCTTTCATTTTAATTTTGTCAACTAAGTTCATTTCTCTGAGTACCCCATATTAATCAGAAGCTCCATTTGAGAATTGTATGTGGTGCTAATCTCTAATATACAAACACTGTTACTTAATACTTACAGTTCAGTAGGCAAAGTTCTTTCAACTATAAGGTGAATGGAAGATGTAAGCGAATGCATGAGATCCTACATGAGGCTCTTATATGGATTTTGGAAGCAGGACATTCATCAATATGCCTGGCTTATAGATAGTGCTCAAGAGCCACAGGTTGAATTAATAAATTAACAGAGATCTAGGTTGTAGGTGGAATTGCTTGGCAAGCCCCTTCATACCTTTCTTGTACATTGGCTTTCAAATCCAAGCATTACTCACTCCTTTCCTTCTTTGAGACACATAAAGCAAGAAGTGAATACCAAGGAAGCATGTAAAAATGTCTGGGTTGTCATTTCTTTCCTAAAATAGTTATATTTGCAAATAATATAGTCAATGAGAATTCAAAGTACCATACTAAGATATTAGGATAATAGGCTTCTTCCTAGGATAAGTATACTAGGATGTCTTTACTAGGCAACTCTTCTGTCTATTCAGAATTGTAATTCAATTAAATGACTACTCATGTAGATTATAGGATACCTAAGAAGTTATTTATAGGACACCTATAAGAAGATACAGGGCCTTACTTTAATTTGCAATTAAATTAGGTACAAGTGAACACAGATGAAACATTTCAAGACAGGAACTAGATGGTCATGGTACCCTTTTATGCTTTCTCCCTACTATTCTACAACTCTTTTCAAACAGATGTGTCTCGGTTTTGGCCATAACTCCACTAAACATGTCACTTTGCCATCTATATTATATCCTCTGTAATATAATTTTTAAAAAATCTATAAGGTGGGAGTGAATAGTAAGACTTCCTTGTAATATTTAAGTAAGATAAAATGAAGTCAAACATAGAACATACATTAAATAGTTGTTATTGTGAGGGAGGCAGCAAGGAGTATTGAGGGTGGCTTGAATTTTAAATAAGAACAACTAAGGTTATATTATCTTTCTGCTTGTTACCAGTTTTGTAGTCTTAGGTAAGAAAATTAATCCCTCAGAACTTCTTTTCACAATGTGTTAAGTGAGAATACAATTTATTTATGGAATTTATGTGAAGATAAAATTAACTAATACATGATACAAAACCTAAGATACTGCCCTGAATATGAAAGATAATACAATGAAGAAATTTTCTCTCTCCCATGCTGGACAGTGAGAAATCTGGAAGCAGAAGCTTTCATGAACAATTTGTCATTGTATCTGCAGTATCTAGGACATAGCTTAGAACCTAGAAGGTTCTTAATAAATATGAGTTGAACTGAACTGAATTTTTAAAGCACCTATTCAGTTAGACTTCTTTAATGCATAGAATATAAATCCATTCAATTCAAGATTTCTCAAATAAAGATACACACAGATTAGGAACATGAGCAATCCAAAAAATCAAGATGCAGAATTCTAAAGGTCAAATAACTCATTGTGTTGCATTGTGTCTAAATCAGGGGTTGTTCTGTGTGTAAATCATGGGCTTATAGCAGCAGAAGTTTGAGGGTTTTTGTTCTACTACTCAGGATTCTGCTGTGCTCCAAATGCTTGCTGATCACTTTGCTCCTGACCAGCAAATTCCGCCTACTCTTTCAGCTCTGTTTTCCATGGGTTAACAGTGAATTGCCTCAACTCATCTTTGTTAGCAGTCTATGAAATACTTCTCTAATTGGCTTGCGGATTGTCTGCCTTATGGTCATAAGGCCACTTCTGGTCTCCAGAGGTTTTATCTGCTTCCCAGAACAGGAAGCCTGGGCAGTGCAGTTACAGCCAGAAGAGGGAGGCTGGGCACAGCAGCCAGCTCAAGCATCCTGTTCAGTATACATCACCCTTTGATTTCATCCACTCACAGCCTTCCTACCTCAAAGTAAGTTTCTAATCATTTCATCCTGGCTAGAGGAAGGAATGGTAAAAACAGCCTCTGTATCAAGGGTTTATTTGAAGAATGTGGTTAGATTTCTCATCTACAACTCCTTGAGAAACAGAGAAGCAGCAGCTATGCTAACATTTTTGTTTAAAATATACAATAGATAAAGAGGATTCTGAGCTGCTTAGCAGGATCTGGCAAGAGAGATGTTTTGATTTCAATGTTGCCAAATTTGTGTATGTAAGATAAAGAACTTGAACCAATTAAAAAGAAAAGCCTCCCACCTTGGGAGAAAGATACCAGAATAATAAGAAGCTAGCTTTTTTTTTTTTTTTTTTTTTTTTTCCTAATGGTCAGGAGCTGAGAGCAGTGAGGGGTACATTCAGGAAAGCCTCATCCAGGTATGGTTGCTGCAAAGTACATCTTGAGAGGACACTCTAAGACTCAAATTGAACCCTTTCCACTTTCTTCATAAAACAAGCAACTGATAATAGAGTCTAAACAATAGTCATGTTTTGGTTCTAGAGGGGTCATTGTGATCAATCTGTTGCAGGCTGCAACAGATTAGGGAATACACAGATCAGAGAAATCTACCTTGGGACCAAGGGTATGAGATGAAGCAAGGTGTGACTAGTGCTTTTTGATGTTTTCTCCTTTCCTTCTCGTTGTACCTAATACGTAAGCACTATAATGCCTTCTTCTAAAAGGATGTTTAATTTGGTTGGACCTTGTAGGTTGCTTAAGATAATTAAAATAGATTGCATGCAAATTAGGTGGCTAAAAAGTTTTCTGAGCTGGCTTTCTTCCTCATAGTTCTACAGATGCCAGCATCTCACATGATCCAATAATCATGCATACGACTTTAATGCATTTACCTTATCTATAGTAAGAAATCCAAATTCATATAGAGTCCCTGAATTCAGTGGTTGTGATATCATGAAGACCCCCTAAAGTCCTTTGTTTACATCATCCACACAGTCCAGGTGATGCTAATTCTTCCTTTACCTGTATCACACTCTCATATAGCTGTTACTCCATACCCTTTCATGATCCGTAAATTAAATGGAAGCTAAAACCACCAGTAATTTACCTAATATATACTAGTGGGATAAAAGGATACTATTAAGCTGGCAATGACTACATTAATTATTCTCATGTTAAAAAGAAAAAAGAGAGGGGACCAGTATTTTTACTGCCACATATCCTGTATTTCTTTAGCCTTTAGATAATACCTCAGCAGTATAGAGAATTTATTCAAAAGATGTGATCTTCGTTCCTGTGGGGTCTGAGTTCTTGGCCGTCTTGCCAATATGAAATTGAGGTCATTTTCCATTAACCTTTTCCTTTGGATATGGCGATACAAAAAAGTTGCCCTCTAAGTCTTGGAGTTCCAGAAATCTACCCACTCCCTCTTGGCATATGGAGTATAGTAGAAGCCAATTATCTCCTTATATTTAGTTTTATCAATTTGGGCAATACTGGGACTATTTCTCAGTGGTTCAATCAGTGGTCCAAGAAAATAGAAATGTTCACATGGCAATTTCAACTACTATTTGGTCTAAGTATTACTGTGTGTCTGAGTGGAGATGTCATTTTCTTGGTCACTAAAATCTATAGGACACCAGGGTTTAGATTTACTGGTATGAAAAACAAAATTTGAAAGTGATTGATTCTTAGACCTGTATAATTTGGCTATGGAAGAAACAGCACCATAAGTGGGTCACTGGTTCAAAGTAAAGACAGCTGTTTTTTCGTTTTTTTGTTTTTTGTTTTGTTTTGTTTGAGACGGAGTCTCGCTCTGTCGCCCAGGCTGGAGTGCAGTGGTGCGATCTCGGCTCACTGCAAGCTCCGCCTCCCAGGTTCACGCCATTCTCCTGCCTCAGCCTCCCGAGTAGCCGGGACTACAGGCGCCCGCCACCACGCCCGGCTAATTTTTTGTATTTTCAGTAGAGATGGGGTTTCACCGTGTTAGCCAGGATGGTCTCGATCTCCTGACCTCATGATCCGCCTGCCTCGGCCTCCCAAAGTGCTGGGATTACAGGTGTGAGCCACCGCACCCGGCCGACAGCTGTGTTTTTAGATGATAGGCTACCTAATAATTCCAGTGAGCCCCAAAGGACATCAGCTTATTTCCTCCCCACTTTCACTGTGAAGTGATACCCTTTGGTAAGAGACAATGCCATGTATTTAAAGCATTTAACCCATTCCTGGATGATCCTGTTCTCAGAAGTATAATGGATAGGAAAAATCCAGGATAAGAGTTTATTTCTGTGGCAGGGGAGGGCAGGGGATATGCCGTTAGAAAGTGATTGATATAGCTGATGTATCATGAGATAGCTGCTGCTGATCTCCTCAATTTTAGGCACCAAACTGGAGGTAAGGGGTAAGGATTGCTCTCTACCTTTGAGAAATTGCACATGTGGGTGTGGTGATATTCAGGTTAGCCAAGGTATGGTGCTCATAAAAATGTTCTGTTTCATCCAATATCAATTTTAACTCTAGAATAAGTTCTAGTTTTGTCCATTGCTTTCTACTTGTATTTTGTTTAGAAAGGGGGAGAGTGGGGATAGTAGTCATCAAAAGTAGCAATAAACAGAGTTTTCTCATCTCTAGGGAACAATGCATATCTTTAGGTAAAAATGACAATGAATCCTATTTATCTGGTTCCTAGTTCTGAATTACAGAAATGACACATATTCCTTGAGTTGTTCAAAAGGAACTATTTAGAGGTCTTTAGAGGCTAATTTTGGGGTGGGAAACTATGGAAATTCGATTATAAGACTCAATAATGGAATGAAGTAAAGATTTGAGCATGAGCATCCTTGGGGAAAGCTGGCAATCAAAAGGAACAAATGAGGTCTTATTGGGCAGACAAGCAGGTTCAGGTTGAGGTAGTTAAAGGTGAAAAATGAGTGATTACATTCCCAGACAGGAACCAGGTAGCCAGAAAAGAAAGAATGGATCAGGAATCAGTCTCAGCTTTGTAGTTACCTAAGTGAACTTAGGCAATGTGCTGGGTGTCTCTCTGACACAGGTTGCTCCTTTAACAATGATAAATTAATTCCTTACCCCAAAGCTTATGAGAGTAGTTGCCCCTGATATGGTCCTATGCAAGTTATCTGTGTAATTTGGAATGGGACAGAAATTATTACTTTTATTTAAGATCATCTTGTCCTTGATGACCCCTGGAATTCTGGCCATTTAGCATTAAAGTACATAAATATCTATGAAAAGCATCTCTTTGACTCAGAAGGTATATAATTGGTGGCTTTTTGCAAACCTTAGCTAACATCCCACACAGAAAACGCCCTACTGCTGCCAGCCTTGCCAAGGCAGCTCCGTGCGGCTGAGCAAAATGCATTCTGTTCTGCGTCATGCATCATCAACAAAATTGCCACTTAAGCCCTGATTCCAGAATCTTTATTGTTGGTTCTAATTTATGAAGCAAACATCAGAACACAGCTTGATTTTTCAGATGCCAAGATGAGTTGGCAGTTGCTAAAATCTTGTTTTGACTTGCAAACTGATTGTATTTGAGGTTAAAGCTATGAAGGAGGCACAAATTCGAGACACCAGTGTTTGATTTATTATTCTCACCTTCAAGCCTTTAGATCTGAGGTTTGTGTTATGAAGGGACAGAAACTGAGGAGTAGGTCTGCAGAAGTCTTTTTTAAAAATTACTTTAATGTTTGGTAACACCAATGAATACATAACTAAGTAAATAAATAATGTATTAGCACCTGAGTGTAAATTTAATCAACTTCTTGTTCAGCATAAGAAGCTCCTATAGGGCTAGGAGTTATTAGTTGCCTGTGAAACCAAGAATCTACTTAGGCCAAACTGTCTGGCATTACTTAGAGGACAAAAATATCAGGGCATCCTGTAGATGGTGTTGAGAGAAAGAGAAAGCAGAGACTTGTGAATTGTGCTTTTAGTAGGAGTTGGCTGCCAATTTTCAAATGTTCACCAAAGACTTCTGGTATAAAGTGAGATTTGAGAAACTGTTTGAGGCCAAGAGAGGAAAGGATACTTTAAGAGAAGGACACCCAAGACTGGTCTGCTCATGAAAAGGCTCTGAGTTTGATTCCAGGTATCACGTTACCTCCTTATCTGGTCATGCAAGGCCTTTTACAACCTCGTTTTATCTTACTTTTCCAGCTGAATCCCTCGTGTTTTCTTCCACGTGTGTATTGTGCATATCAGTGTCACAACAAATCAATGTAATTCCTTCAGCCTCTACTATGTACCCCACAAGGAGCATTCCAAGTGTTACCTCAGTTGATTTTTACAAAAAATCTAGAAGGTAGATATTATTATATACATTTTACACATGAGAAATACAGCAGAGGAAGGATAATTCACTTGCCAAAAGTAACACAGCACATCCATGGAATAGCAGGATTAAAAAGCCTGCCTTCCTAGATTGCAAATGGAGAATAAAAGCACTATAATATAAGTGGTGCTCCAAGAGACTGATAGAACAAGGTAGCCCTGCTTGGAAGCCTATTATAATAGTTTCAACACTACTGGAGAGAGGCTCTCCTTACCCCCAACACCAACTAGAGCAATACATGTGGTCACCAAGGGCCAGGCTTCCGGGTGCAGTTAGTGGTGGAGTATAACAAGGATGTTAGTAGCAAGGTCAGTGAGGCAGGGAAAAAGCCAACCAACCAGAAGCAAACAAAAAAAAAACCCAAACCAACACACTAAAGTCATACCAAGACCAGTTCACATCATTGCTTAATACAGGAGTGATGCAGAATCAAGTAATTTAAAGACATTTCTGATATGAAGTAGAAAGCATGTCTGTAGTGGCTGCAGAGAAAACCATTTATGGCTAAGGCAGATAGAATAATGGTCCTCCAAAGATGTCTATGTCCAAATCCCCAGAACGTATGAATATGTTACCGTACATGGTGAAAGGAATTGACAGATGTGGTTAAATTAAGAGTCTCCAAATAGGAAGATTATTCTGGATTATCTGGATAGATTTAACATAATTACAAAGGTCATTATAAGACAGAGATGTGACAGTGAAAGCAGGGAGCAGGGAGATTTGATGATGCTATGCTGCTGACTTTGAAGAAGGAGGAAGGATTTAAGTCAGGTAATGCAAGGAGCTGCTAGAAGCTGAAAAGGCAAGGAAATAAATTATCCCCTAGGGCCTCCAGAAGGAACACATCCCGAACACCTTGATTTTAACCCATTGAGACCTGTGTTGTACTTTTGACTCCCATAAGTATAAGAAAATTAATTTGTTGTTTCAAGCCATGAAGTTTGTGGTAATTTGTGACAGTAGCAAAACAGGAATCTAATACCACTGCCAACAGGAAGACTGTGAGAGTCCCTCAGAAGAAAACTGTTTATGTGGGGGCACAAAAGAGTTAAACAATTATTGAATGTTGAATGAAGGAATAATGGGGAACAAAGGATTAATAACAAGATAAACCCTGTGCCTGTTTCCTTCAGAGTAGCAGAAGTGAGATGTTGATTCTTTGTTTTACATTCTCCTTCGAATTCTTGACAGAGCATTCATTTGCTGCAGAAATTACTCAAGTGTATTCCACAATTAGAAAAATTCAAAGGGATGGCTTCCTGTGGGTGTATTTGATGTGTCATAGGAAAGGTTTCCCTGTGTGGCTCAGGCATGGAGCTTGAAATGACAGCTGCTATGCCTGTAGCTTTCACATGCCAGCATGGAGGTGTTTGAGAAGTAGCATTGATCTCAGAGAATAGCCAGAGAAGGCTTCCCTGCTTTAGAACTAAGAGGAAACCTGAGGGATGAATAGAAGAAACCACGGCAAGGGCAAGGGTTTGGGTGGAAAGAGTATTACAACAGAGGATGCAGAACACTCGAGGCTCAGAGCAGAAAAGTGAATTGTGAGGCCCTGCAAGGAAGAACTCTTAGTGTGGCTTGAGGTACTGGGCTTTAAGATGGAGTCAGTGGTGAGTGACCAGAGAGTAGCCAGGAGAGTGAAGCAAGTGTTCAAATGTGAAAAGTGGCTGGTCATGGAAGTTTTTATGCTTTAGAAAGCCGGATCTTGTGAAACTGTAAGTTTCATGAAGGCAGTGGCCCTATTGCCCTTATTTACTCCTGGATTCTTAGTGCAGAGTACAGCTTTTGCGACCTAGTAGAGTTCTGTGAATATTTGTTAACAGAAGAAAAGAAAGGCTGGAAAGAGAAAGAGAGAGGGGTGGAGGAAAGGAATAAAAGGAAGGAGGAATGTAATGGAAAGAAGAAAGAAAGCAGGGAAAGAAGAAAGGGACAAAGACGGACAGATTCTACCAAATGCAACCCTGAATGAGTGGCAGGTCTGTTAGCTATGTCAGCAGGAAGTACTTGCTGCTTGCTTTTGCCTCTGCCCTCCTTTTCAAGGGGCCAGTTTTAATAATCTGCTTTGTACAAAGAGTAGTGGATGTAGACAGTTTCTCAGGTTACAGTCCTAGCAAATTCAGTGGTCTTTGAGGAGATACTAACCTTATTTTTTGATGTTGTACAGCACAAAGGGCAGTGTCTCTGAAAAAGAGTTGATTTACTTCCTCACTCTTCTCCACTTTGTAATGCTTCAATATTTTCCCTAGTGCTCGTGGGATTAACCATGATGGGCACAAAAGGACAAAACAATAGACAGGACCAGGTAGAGAAGACTCTACATGGTACACAATAGGATATATAATAGGTACATAATAGGATACATAATAGGTAGGTACATAACAGGAACATAATATGATACATAATAGGTACTTGGTAAATAATAGGTACATAATAGGATACATAATAGGTACGTTCATAATAGGATCAGCTGGGATCTCATGCAACCTCTTTCCCAGAATGGGGACAACATCTAGTTCTGTATACCCATCAAGGTAATCTTCAGAATGTCTGGTTATTCCCATCTGTCCCACAGCTGTCCCCAGTATCTTCTTTGAAGGACTTTGATTCATAGTGACACATACTGCATGACTGGCTGGATTTATGTTTCTGAGACACTTATCCTATTATAATGCCTAGATGAATGAATAAATGTAATGAATAGGATACTAGAAGCAACACTAGAAATTATATGCTAGAGTTACCATAGTATCTATTAATGTCCTAACAGACTGGATTGCTAAAATTCTCTATATTCCCAACAAAATCCTGTTTTTCAGACTGGGTCCTGGCTGTCCATGGGAGCTCAGCTTGATGCCTGCCTGATAAGTGTTTTTGTATGCCTAAGGCCTTGGGGCATGCTTTACCAGTTTGACCAGAGAGTAATGCTAACAATGTGATTTATGGTGAACACCTGTTTTTACTTTGGGGGTCTGGAGTCTGCTTAGGTAAGCTAGTCACGCAGATGTTGCATACTTAACTAACTAACTTCCAATAAAATCCCTGGACATCAAGACTAGGGTGAGTTTCCCTGGTTAGCAACACTTTACATGTATTGTCACTTACCGTTTCATGGAGAGTTATGTGTATCCATGTGTGACTCTACTGGGAGAAACACCAGGAAGCGTGGACTCAGCTTCTCCCAGACTTTGCCCCATGTTCCCTTTTCCTTTGCTGATTTTAACCTGAATCCTTCCACCATAGTAAAATGCATCTATAACAGCTTCTGAATCCTGTGAGTCTTCTAATGAATTATCAAGCTAGAGGGTGTTCTTGCAGACCCTTGACACAGTACTTTTATCCAAAACTTAAACATACATTTTAGACAGTCTGCCCTGTCTGTATAGTGCCAACTGTATAGAACTCAGAAAGGAAGAATAATTCTTCAATCAGAAATATTAAATAACAAATGTATTAGTATTTTTTCTACAATGAATTATGCATCATTACATAGTAAAAATAAAAAATACATTATCTTAATAGCTGGCACAAGAATTCCTTTTAGGAGAAAGCTATCTAACGAAAAAGACTTGAAAGCCATTTGGGATACAAATGAGTTCAGAGTGAATGGGTAGAAAGGCAACAGAGAACTTTACTAACTACATTTAAAAAAGTTTGAGAGGAATATGGTCCTGAGAGAAAGGGGAAATGGGAAAGAAATAAAAGTGAGTGAGAAGTCATTAAGACACGGAGAATGAGAAAAATCAGTGAGGTGGCATGAGGTTGACACACTCCTTGGAATGAAGTGACCAGGGCAAAATTCATCATAGGAAGAACAAACGAAAATTTAAGATGAGTGACGTCTAGTACTCCACTGAAACTGTTGGTTTTATTAAAGTGCAAACCCTTTCTTTGTGTCCTCATATATTCAACAAAATCTACTGTACTCAACAGTAAGTGTAACTTTTGCAAATATTGAGGAAGGGGTCTGTTTAGATTGATAAACTTCAAAATAAAGACAGTAGGTAGGGCAATAAAGTCTGTAAACTAATCAAATGCAGAGTGGAAGCCTGAGGAACTCCTATTCCTACTCCTCAATAATTTGTAGAAATATTGAATATGGCGGTTGATGTTCAAGTAGCAAAGAATGGGAAGGGGGTTAAGTTGATCTTATTCTTGTTAAAAGAAAAGTTTCAGCTGAATTAAATTTAAAGGAGTTTAGTTGAGCAAGGAACAATTTGCTAATTGGGCAGCCCCCAGAATCACAGCTGATTCAGAGAGACTCCAGTGCAGCCACGTAATGGAACAAGATTTCTAGAAAAAAATAAAGGGAAATGATGTACAGAAATGGGAAGTGAGGTACACAGCTGGATTGGTTACCGGTTGGCGTTTGCCTTATTTGGACATGGTTTGAACAGTTGGCTACATTTGGCCAAAACTCAGTGACTGGCAAAGGTGTGGGCTAAAGTCGGCTTACATCTCTACTTGTTATAGTTCATGATACACAGAAAAACCTTTAGGCCGAACTTCTATAACGAGGCAGCCTCAGGCTAAACTTGATTAACATCCTGAAGGGTCAGATAGAACTTAGATTATACTTACTAGTGACAGGTGACGGCGTGCTGGCAGCCCTTGCAGCCCTGCCTCGCTCTGGGCGCCTCCTCTGCCTGGGCTCCCACTTTGGCGGCACTTGAGGAGCTCTTCAGCCCACCGCTGCACTGTTGGAGCCCCTTTCTGGGCTGGCCAAGGCCGGAGCTGGCTCCCTCAGCTTGCAGGGAGGTGTGGCGGGAGAGGCGCGAGCGGGAACCGGGACTGCGCCGCGGCGCTTGCAGGCCAGCTGGAGTTCCGGGTGGGCGTGGGCTTGGCGGGCCCCGCACTTGGAGCGGCCGGCCGGCCCCAGGCAATGAGGGGCTTAGCACCAGGGCCAACGGCTGCGGAGGGTGTGCTGGGTCCCCCAGCAGTGCCGGCCCACCGACGCTGCGCTCGATTTCTCGCGGGGCCTTAGCTGCCTTCCCGCGGGGCAGGGCTCGGGACCTGCAGCCCGTCATGCCTGAGCCTCCCCCTGCCTCCGTGGGCTCCTGTGCAGCCCAAGCCTCCCGGACGAGCGCCACCCCCTGCTCCACGGCGCTCAGTCCCATCGACCACCCAAGGGCTGAGGAGTGTGCGCGGCGCGGGACTGGCAGGCAACTCCACCTGCAGCCCCAGTGCGAGATCCACTGGGTGAAGCCAGCTGGGCTCCTGAGTCCGGTGGGGACTTGGAGAACCTTTATGTCTAGCTAAGGGATTGTAAATACACCAATCGGCACTCTGTATCTAGCTCAAGGTTTGTAAACACACCAATCAGCACCCTGTGTCTGGCTCAGGGTTTGTGAATGCAGCAATCGACACTCTGTATCTAGCTACTCTGGTGGGGACTTGGAGAACCTTTGTGTGGACACTCTGTGTCTAGCTAATCTAGTGGGGACGTGGAGAACCTTTGGGTCTAGCTCAGGGATTGTAAACGCACCAATCAGCGCCCTGTCAAAACAGACCACTGGCTCTCTGTAAAATGGACCAATCAGCAGGATGTGGGTGGGGGCCAGATAAGAGAATAAAAGCAGGCTGCCCGAGCCTGCAGTGGCAACCCAGTCGGGTCCCCTTCTGCTGTGTGTGGAGCTTTGTTCTTTCACTCTGCAATAAATGTTGCTGCTGCTCACTCTTTGGGTCCACACTGCCTTTATGAGCTGGTAACACTCATCACGAAGGTCTGCAGCTTCACTCCTGAAGTCAGCGAGACCACGAACTCACCGGTAAGAAGGAACAACTCCAGACGCGCCGCCTTAAGAGCTGTAACACTCACCGCGAAGGTCTGCAGCTTCACTCCTGAAGCCAGCGAGACCACAGACCAACCAGAAGGAAGAAACTCTGAACACATCCAAGCATCAGAAGGAACAAACTCCGGACACGCCACCTTTAAGAACTGTAACACTCACCGCGAGGGTCCACAGCTTCATTTTTGAAGTCAGTGAGACCAAGAACCCACCAATTCCGGACACACTAGGTTGCAGCTATACCACAAACAACAGACTACACACTGCCTGTGATTAAAGAAGGGGTATTGAAGATTATATATCCTTAATAGCTAACTTCCTTGTCTGAACTCACCACGTAAAAGGGGGCAATATATTATTGCATGCCACAAGCAGACTAGGCTCCCCAGAAAACAGATTTTGAGACTGAGATTTACTTTCAGAAGTTTTATTAGGGAGTGCTCTTAGCCATAACAGTGGAGTTGGAGGGGAGGACAAGGAAGGCAGGATTAGGTAGGAGAGTGACTGGGCTGTGGTGGTAACCAAAGCATCGGCAGATCCCACAGGATGCTATGAGGCTAGAATGCCCTGAAGAGATGTGCTGAATGGAGGCAAGGGTTCAGGTCTTCGCATCCTCACATAGATCAGTCTCTGGATTCAGGCTGCTCCTCGGGAGTATTCTTTGTGCAAATTAGCTTCCTACCAAAGAGCAATCCCTGGGGAGCAACTGGTAGGTAAGCCTCAGAGGGCTGTGAGTGCCTCCATCTTGAAGAGGGGGATCTGGGCTCAGAGTTCGGCAAACCTGTGAGTACTTTCTCTGTACCAGTAACAGCTGTTGCTGAGACTAAAGAGTTGCACTGTGCTGCATGCTGTAAGGGTGCTCACAGTCCAATAGGGGGAGATAGATGTGTAGAAACAAAGAGAAAATAAAGCAGCAGTGTAATTCACAACAGACAAAACCTGGATGGCAAAAATGTCCACCAACTGGAGAATATTTAAACAAAATATGGTACATCCATGCAATGGAATACTACTCATCAATTAAAAGAAAGAAGTACTGAAATATGTACAGCTGAGATGAGCTTCAAAAACATGCTCAGTGGAAGAAACCAGATGTAGAGCACATATCATATATATGATTCCGTTTATGTAAAATGTTCAGAGAAGGTAAATCTTATGGAAACAGGAGGTTAGTGCTTGCATAGGGTTGGGGGTGGGAATGAGGAAGGACTATATATGAACATGAAATTTCTTGAGTGATGGACATGTTTTAAAATTAGATTGTGATGATAGTTGTAAAATTCTTGTAAATATACTAAAAGTTAATTGAATTGTATACTTAAAACAGGTGACTTTACATTATATAAATTATTCCTCATTAAAGCTGTTAAAAAATGAGAGTGATTTTAAAATATATGGGCGAGACACAGTTAGACTGGAGTGAGGGATATAGCTAAAGATGAAAGAATGAAGTCCTCCTGATAAAAGTTTTTGAGGAGCAATATTTGTTTTCAATATAGAGAGGCCTGGAAGAGGAAATAGTATCTGCAAAAGTATAAAGGAAGATGTAGTGCAGGAAATGCTTAGAATGTCTTTGAGTGTGAGGGCTAGAAGGGATGAAGAGCAGCTGGCATGTGATTAGCACTTGGAAGCCACTTCATAAAGCATATTTTATGTCATGGGAAGAAGGCTGAAATTTCTCCTTTTCAGGCCTTTGTGCAACCCTGTTTCTATACCTGAATGCTCTTTCCCTGTTTTTGTTTGTTTTAATGCTTTGCTCTTTCCCATGATTCAGGCATCAGCTTAAAAATAACCTTTTCCACGGTGTTTTCCCTGATCACTTTATCTCAAAAGGTTCTGCTCTCTGTTCATCATTTTTCTCCATTAAAACAACACGACACACTGCTTGTTCATTTATTTTTGTTTCCCTCTTTTCAGTGTCTCATAGGCAGTGAGAACTCAGTCTGTTTCACTCCCAGAGTTACCACACTAAGAATTGAACCTTGACTTTCCCACTTTTTAGTGTATGACCTAGATAACATCTAACTTGACCCACTGACTTTCAGCTTTTTCTTCTGCAAAATCTGGTGGGCTTGATATTTATGTATTTTTTAGCCATAGTGTGAAGACTTTTATAATAGATGTAAAAATGCTTTGTAAATGTTAAAGCTCCCTAAAAATTTATTGGATTATTATAATTAAATAGTGAATAAGGTATTGTTAGTAATAGTTATTAGTAATTTATTAAAAGTTACATTACTGTGTAAATTTATTGAATTATAATTGCATAATAAATAAGGTATTATTAATAAATAGTAAATAGCACATTAAAGTATTTAAGGTTCAGGGTATATTTTATGCACATCAGTTATTCCTCTGACTTGCATCTTACTAACATCCTCTGGTATATAAAGATTATTTGTTTTCATACAAGTGATTCCAATGAGCTGTGATTTAAAGGCGCTTGTGTTTGCTTTTTATATTTTCCTACTTCTTTTTCCTTCATATCAAGCTTATTAAAATCGTATATAAACTATAAGTTAAAAGACCTTCAACGGGTTCTCTTATGGGTAGAAAGCATTGTTTTAAAAATATATTTATAGTTAAATAGCACTGAACAAGAAAATTGTGAAACAAAAGTGACTTAGATGTGGATCCTATGTGTAAGGAGTTTGTATTCTAGAAAGAATGATAAGCTAAAAAAATTAGAATGGAAGGTAGAAAGAGAAAAGTACCACATGAGAGATGCAAATGAAATACAATATGCATTTGGATGAGGAAGAAAGTATTATTAACTAGAGTGAACAGGGAGCACTTCAGTTAAGTGTCAGAGTTTAAAGTGATATTTAGATGTAGCCTAGTTTTCCACTAGGAAGAGTGACATGGGTGTGGTTAAGGAGGCATCCCAGGCAGCAGAAATAGCATAAGCAAACCCGGTGTGAGATCTCTGTCCAGACATATTTGTACCCAGTTGGCTAGGAACATGGCAGATAGAAATAAAGATAAATATTTTAAGAAATAAAAAAAGAGACTAATGGATTGTTCTGTAGGGAGCCAACCAATGAATTAGGGGCAGCATTTAAGATGGAGTGCCTCATTCAAATGACAAGCATGTATTGAGTGTCTAATTTATGCTCTGCAGAAGCCAGATTGCACTAGTTGTGTGTATTAATTACATTGTATGAGTTCTGTGGAAGTTACATAGCATGAAAAAGATACAGATGTTGTATAATATATAAGAAGATTAGACTTTATAAAATGGAGAAAAAAGATGGGCAAACACATCTCCATAGACACCGGTGCACCATCCTTTGATTGAACAACTCAGAGAAATGTAGGTGTTTTAGATTAAATTCTTGAAATGCAATGCTACTCTCAGAGTCCCATACCCTTTTTTTTTTGAGATGGAGTTTCACTCTTGTATCACAGGCTGGAGTGCAATGGCACGATCTCGGCTCACTGCAACCTCCGCCTCCCAGGTTCAAGTGATTCTCCTGCCTCAGCCTCCCGAGTAGCTGGGATTACAGGCTTACGCCTCCGTGGCCGGCTAATTTTTGTATTTTTAGTAGAGACGGGGTTTCACCATGTTGGCCAGGCTAGCCTAGAACTCCTGACCTCAGGCGATCCACCCACCTCGGCCTCCCAAAGTGCTGGGATTACCAGTGTGAGCCACCGTGCCCGGCCCCCATACCCTTTTTTGAAAAGCTAACAGTTTCTTCTTTTGCTTTTCTTTCATTTTTTTTAAGTTATCCATGGGTCAGCATCTGGCTATCTAGCACTTTTCAATAGGAAGAGCAGCCAGTTTGAATATTTTGAATTCATTAATAAATAAAATTGAGGCTTCCATTTAGACTTTAAGAATAACATAGGCTTTTAAAATTGCATTAAAAATGGATTTATTTTAGGGAATGCTTTTAGGCTTTTTGACTATTACCTTTTCTACGTTCAGTTCAGAAGAAATATTGGTATTTTTTAAATTAGTGTTTTAGACCAAATACTATGTTTCTACTTTTTACAAATATTTTTCTTCCATTTGAAGTTGAAGTTTGAAATAGAATTTATAACAAAATGTACAAAAATTTCTGTCATATTTTTCCAAACGTCATCTTTATATATTCAAATTTAAAAAGCTCCTCCACTTTTCCACTTAAAAATAAACATGCACACGCACACACAATTTTCTTGGCTTTGGGCTATTCTCTTAACGTAGTCAGATATTTGGTTAGAAATCAGCTCATTGAATACTCCTTTTTATTTTGAGACTCTTTTACCTTCGGTTATATGATTGATTGTCATTAATAAAAATAAGATATCCAGGGCTTCCAAAATATAGCTTCAGGAATTCATAGATGGGTGAAACACAGCTCCTGACCTTGAATGTAGAATATGGACAAAATAATGGTAAGCCATAGGGCTGGAGCGGACCTGTGCTGAAGTTAGCTAATAGGGGCTTTATGTGCCAAGACATGGAATATTTTAAAAAGAGCCACTGAAACATTTTTAGTAATTGAGTGATCTGGTAAATTTTGAATTTTAGAAAGATCACTTTGATGCCAAGGTAAATGAGAATAGGAGGAGAATAATAGATGGGGTTGGAAGTAGAAACTTATACAAGGAGAACATTTAGAAATCTGTTGACATTATGCAAGTGAGATTTGATGGTAACCTGAACTGAGATAATGGTAGTGGAAAACTATTTAGGAAGTACAGTTAACATAATTTTGTGGCTAGTTAGATGGGCCAGGAGTAAAGAGTGAGTATATCTAAGATGTCTTGTAGGTTTCTGAATTTAGTGAAAAGAATTATTTTTAATTAATTAGGATACAAGAAAGCAGTTGATGGGAGGGAAGATGCTTGGCCCAGAAATTCCCTAACTTGGCCATAAGGCTTGAGGTTATTATTAGTGAAGACGATAAATTTGATCAAAAATTGAAAGTTAGTTTAATGACGATGCCCATGTCATCACTATGGTGATAGGGGCCTTCTCCAAGGGAAGGTTTGGACAAAAGAGGTCTAACAAGGATTCCATAGGACAGATTAGACAAAGAAGAGCCACTAAGTTTTACTGGGAGAAAACAGACAAGAGAGGGCTTAATCAGGTACCATTAGGCAAGGGAGGGTTCAGAAGAATTCCAGTAATTGAACCTCAATTTTATCTAGCTCAATCTTCTGCTCCTAGGATGTATGAAAGTATCGCTACTCCAAACACCTGCCTGTCCCATAAATGTTGCCTTGTGGTATCTATGGAGCCACTGGTGATTTCAAATCATTTCGTAGTAATCTTTTTCCTGCAGCTATCCAACTGTAAAAATTATTATTAACCTCAAGTTTGGCTCTTAGGGCATAGTGCTTGTCGCCGATCTGGTTTGAAGTGTGTTATCTTGTCCTCCTGCCTTCTTATTTTCTCATCAGTGCATAGCCAAAAGATATTTAATGTTAAATGTTATAAAGAAACAATTTTCATGAATTTTATACAAACCATTAACCACAAACAGGTTAATATGCCATCGTCTCTATTCTCCTCAAAAACAATAAAGGTAATATAGTTTAGAACACACCAGGTTTGGGATGATTATGGAATATTTGAATGGAGATGCTTAGTAGACAGCTGAATACTTAGGTCTGACAGTGAGAAGAGTATAGGAAAGTATTTGAGAATCATTGGTTTATGACAAAGAATGAAAGCTCTGTGTATTGATGCCTAGCTTGATGACTGCCTGGGAATATAGAATAAATGAAGAAGGTGAAAAATATGCATATATTCATATCTATACTAACATGGATAAAGATTTATGTCTATAAATAGACATAACAAATATAGGAAAACTAGAGGTTAATCAAGGAGGAATATTAAATTTGTGGTTTTCAAGCCTCTACTACGAATATTTTGGGGCTGATATTAAAACTCATGGCTTTGGCCACTCTTACACATTAGTAACTGAGTTCTGACAGTCAGTGACATGATCCCCATGTCATTGTTATGAATTAAAAAAAAGAGGTGTAGGGAAATAAAGTGACCGAATCCAAGTTATATAAGTAAAATTGTGATATCTTTTTCTTTCTTTTCGTTGTCACTGCCCATCCCCTACTCAATATGTTTAGGTTATAAATTACTTAGCCTTAACTGGATTATTAGTAATTAAGGCTAAGTAACTTAAAAGACTCCAAGAAGCATTTCTAACCTTGATTTTCAATGAATTTAGCAAACATCAAGCATCTATTATTTGCCAAATACTGTTAGATCCTAGCTATAGAGTGCTGTATAAGCCAGATATATCCCTACTCTCACCAATTTTTAAGAAGGTAGAAAATACAGACATTGAACGAAGAACTCCCATCATGATGAAAATTGCGAAAGGGGAAATATAGAGTATTATAGCACTCATATCCTGAGGATCTAATATGGAAGTTAGAAATTCTTTGCACTATCATCATTTTTTTAAGACTTATATTCTCAGTAAGAGTTAGCCAAATCACAATGGAAAGAATGATAATCTGGGGTCAGAGTTCAAAAGGACTAAACATTAAAGAACAAAGGTGAGACTGAGAGAAAATAGTAGAAGCTGAGGCTTGAGAATCAGTACTAGGAGCCAGGGGGGTCTCCTAAGACATGTTTAGTGTTTTGGGTTTTAAGAACTATGAAAAACCCGCTGCAAAGCTTTAAGCTTTGCAAACAATTGACCAAAACAGCATTATGGTTGTAGTGTGGAAAACTGATTGGAAGGAGGATTTCTAGAGCCATGACTGTTAAGGGGATGCTTAAGGAATCCAGATGTGATTTCATCGTGACCTCCGTTATGTTTTGGGGAATGTAGATGAAGAGAAGTTAAACAGATGAAAAAGATACCTCGAATGGAGAATTAGCAGGACACTATTACTGATTGTATGTGAATTCCTTGAGTGTTTTGTTCATTAATATTTTCTTACTTTGTCTCATACTTTTAATGCTGACAAAAAAGAGATTTCCAACATGGCTTGAAAGATGGACCTATACTTCTTCCAATTTTAAGAATTCCTACTTTCATATTTTGGATGTGCAGTGATAATCTTGATTTATTAGAATATCACCATACCTAGGCTGAGATCCAAAAGTAGATTTTCATTTAGACACCCAGGCATTTCTCAGGTTATATATAACCTGATGTTTCAGGGTCTTAACCTAACAAGTATCTTACACATTTACAATTTAATTTCAAGGGACACCAGATTAGACCATATATTAATCAATCTTCACGCTGCTGATAAAGACATACCTGAGTCTGGATAATTTATAAAGAAAAAGGGGTTTAATGGACTTACTGTTCAACGTAGCTTGGGGAGGACTCACAATCATGGTGAAAGGCAAAAGGCACATCTTACAGGGAAGCAGACAAGAGAGAAAATGGGAGGTAAGCAAACGGGGAAACCAATTATAAAATCATCAGATCTCCTGAGACTTATTCACTACCATGAGAACAGTATGGGGAAAACCACCCCCATGATTCAATTATCTCCCATTGGATCCCTCCCACAGCACGTGGGAATTATGGGAAATACAATTCAAGATGAGATTTGGGTGGGGACACAGCCAAACCATATCAGAGCAGAAGCAATCTGCCTTACCCCACTTTTGGAAAAACAATACAAATCTGGCATTTGAGGGACACTAAATTAATGATATTTTCTCTAGGAAAAATGGCTTTATACAAAGAAGGATGAGCACAACTCAAACATGATAAATACCTATTTTAGCTAAGTGATCTTTCATTTTGTTCTTCATGAATATATTCTATATTATATACTGTCCAGATATTAACATGAAACATCCATAACTTATGTGTACCAATGATGCACGGAAACTATTAAGGTTTCTCATGAGTGCAAGAAATATCATCATCTTTCACAGTGAAAAATTGCATTTCCATGCTCAGAAGTGCTACACATTAGAGTAGATATGTTTGGCATGCTTTTGAATGAGTTAAGAGCGTCAGATCAAGTTCAGCAAGTAGTATCCTTTTGCCCACTCTGAATTCCGTGGGGTTACACAAAAACATTCAGATTTCCTTTAATATTTGCTCTTCAGTTCGTTGACTTTTTATACAGTAGAATGAGCTGTTTAGAATGTGAGTGGTCCTGAGGCTACACCTGAGAAGTTATCTGCATATTAATATAAGTTTCTTTTCAGGAAAAAAAATAACCTTGACCTTCTGAATCATGCCTATTGAGGAAGGCTATGGATCATGAATTGCTAGCCTATTCATATTAATAAGCTGTGTGCAGACAAAACCATATTCATTTGCATAAGCTTCTCTCTGTAGCCCATGAAATTAACATTGTTTAATGGCTGGAAATAAGATCACATTTAGCTGTATGAGTCATGCTCTCATCTCAAAAGGGAAAAATAAATGGGTCTTGACTCAATAAGCAGAAAGCTGTTTAAAATTTCAAGTACTTTTATTAGGCAACCAATGGAAGCTCAAGTGACAAAAGCAATGTCATCTCTAGATGAGTGTAGGATTCTAATGCAAATCATAGAATATAAGCCCCTTCTCACCCATCATCTTTGACCACCATCTCATCCAATAATTTTTTAACCCAACAGTTACTTATGTAATAAATATTGTAATTGTTCCTAGGACCTCCTTCCAAAGGCCTCACAGTCTATATATAGTGGGAAGGGAATGACCAACTTTGTACTAGGAGCTTTGGGAAAAGTTTCACAGAGAAGGTGACATTTGCATTGGGCTTTGAAGAATGTGTAGGAGTTCTCGGGTTTAGGAGTAGAGCAATTCAGGTAGAAGAATGAATACATTATGAAAGGAGCTTAGTGTTTTGAAGAACGAACAAGAAGTGTGATGCAGGGCTGGCTATATAATTTGCAAAGCTCAGTGAAAAAATAAAAATGCCAGCCCCTTTGTTTAAGAAATGCAGGAAAAATTCTGTTAAAACTTTTATATTTTTTTCATGTTTCATGTTTATCTGGAATATCAGTGCAATTTTTTAAGTATATTTTCTTAGTGAAAGACTTTTTCCTACAGGTATATCTATAGTGTTGGTTAATCCCTTTTTAATTTGCTATTTAGCGTCTTCCTATGTAAAAAACCTAACCATTCAAATTATTATTTTAAATTTTCCCATTCATCTTTATACTGTGTCATGCAAGTTTTAAATGCAAATATAAGAGCATTTAACTCAGAAGCCAAAATTATACAGTTATTTCATGGAAAATACATACATATGTATTTTATTCTTACATAAGAGTGGAAATTCTATACAAAACTAATGCAACTGTTTCTATTTCACATATTGATATGTGCATATTATATCAACACTCTCCACCTTCAGCTTACTGACGAGTAGAAATAACTGAAAGGAAAAAGAACTATAGGTTGTCTTATCTTTCCCTTCATTCTATGTCATCATGTTAAATAAGTAGCTGCTTAATATAGGTAAGTAACATGAATAAAAAAAGATATGAAAAGATTACTTGATCATTTGCGGTTTTTAGAATGACATCACCATCTTTCTTCATTCAATGGAAGTTCTTGCTAAAACAAAAAGTGTAGGCTCTCAAGTCTTTTAAAGAAACCACTTACTTAGCTTTAGTTGTCACAAACATATTGCACTTGCTTAGAGTCGTGCTAAACTTTCATACATTGTGGGTCCATGGAATTCTGTGTTCATGGGGCATCACAAACATTTGCAGAGGCAGCAGCAATGAACTGCAGACATCCGTAATGTGCCTATCTCCTCTGCTCATGTATGTGCTCCATTATTCCACTAGACTTCATTTCCAAAACACATATTCAAAGGCAGAATTATTAAGAATTTCAAGACAGCAATAGTATAGCTTTAAACCAAGTAAGAGGTGCTTCTGAGGACATAATCCTGAACATCTGCCCAGGCTGAACAATCATGATGCCAGCCATAGTGTGATAACTATAGTATGCACGAAGTAGAAATTTAGAATCTACAATGAAGATAGATTGAGCCCAAATTGTAAATGACCATATATAACAAGATATGGACTTTGGAATTGATACTTTTGATATAAGAAAGCAAAAATTTTTTTACATATAGAAATGATTAGGTTTTACAAAGCTAACTTTGTAAAAGCATGTTTAGGTTTTACAAAGATAACTTTGGAGGCAATGTGGTAAATGAATTGGAATGGTAGCAGAGGTAGTTGGGAAATGAACAATGCCAGTGACCAAAAGACTGTGAGGTGGAGATGAAAAATTTTATATGGGCGATAGTTCTGAGAGGGAGAGAAAGAATCCTTAATATTTGGTGCCTGAATTTAGGAATAAAGTAGAGGGAGAACTGAATAAATAAAACTGGTTTTTGAACTAAGCTTAGCACTTAACTTTCAACCTGCATATCACACCCTGCAACTCCAAGTCTCCTAAATTATAAACAATAAATGTTTAATATTACATGTATTTTACTCCTTTTGAATTCTTTAAAAAAAAGATGACAAGTGCTTAGATTATGTGGTAGCATTTACTTTGTGAGAACTCCCTGTACTCTGACCAGGGAGTATAACTGAGCTCATTGAGGTTTTTCAAAATGGGTAAATCAAGAATGCCATTGTTACTCTGAGCTCAAAAATAGGTGATACATATTTTGAACACCAAGGGCAATGACCTCTTTGTATTCCAAAAGCCAGCAGATATACTAGATATGCAAAGCAACAATTGAAATCCATGGTTTCATGTAGTTCACTGATAATGTGTGTCTCTCTGAAGACATATCAAGTTTTAAAAAATTTCATGTCTTGAGCCAATTATTGAGAATGAGAAATATTCCAGCTGCCAGGATTCACACTCTTCTAGCTGGAGGTGAGAATGTGTTACTCAGTCATTTGATAGTTTACCTCAAAGAAAGTGTTAATTGAAAAGGTGACTTATTCAATGTTTTATTTAATTAGCCAAGATGCTTTCCTGGGACTTTTTTTTTGGCTATTATTTAGTTTAAGGCAGTCTGTAAAATGTTATCTTTTAAAAGATAGAATTCTGGGAAAGTGGTGGAGTAGGAAGTATCAGAAATTTGTCTCCCCACCCAGACAAAAATTGCACTTGCATAATTTGTCTAATGTAATTATTTTGGAGATCTGGAGCCTATTAAAAGCTTGCAAATTTCAGAGGAAAGCTTGGACAGTAAATTGTAGTTAATTTTGATTAATTTTAGCTCTTAGCACAGTAGTAGCTACGTATCCCCTCCAACCTGGTAGCAGATAGCTGTGCACATGTTCCAGGAACAGCTTGAAAGAGACAGGGTGAGCAAAAAGCACCTTGTCCTTCAAATATTGGGTATCTGTGGTTTGACTAATGACTGCTGCTTCTAATCATGGAAGTGCAGATAAAGATGCAGGGAGCTATTATTTTTGCACCTTCCTCCATTGTTGCATGCCCCTTCCTCTCTGGGGATTTAAGGGTCCAGCACCCTTCTCTCCTCTCACCCTTATTTTCGTCTTTTTCCCTTCAGGAGTCAAAAATTAAAGACTAAAACATTCAAAGGTAATTACATGTATGAAGGAAATTAGAAAGTGGCCATGCATGCCCAGGGAAAGAAACAGGCTCAGATATATTTGAACATTCCTGATTCTTGGCACAGTCACAGCCTACAACAATGAAAAAATATATACTTAAAGATACTCAGAGATCTAAAGGAAGATGTGGAGAAAGTCAAGAAAACTTGGTATGAAGAAAATGAAAATATCAAAGAAGAGATAGAAAACCTAAAAGGAAACAAAATAATAGTGAAGCTGAATAGTACAACTGAAATAAAAAATTTACTAGAAGGACTAAAAGGCAGATGTGAGTAGGCAGAAGAAAGAAATGGGTGAGCATGAATATAAGACAATAGAAATTACTGAATCTGAGAAGCAGAACAAAAAAAAGATTGACAAAAAGTGAACAGAGCCTGAGATACCTGTGGGACACCACCAACTGGACCAACACATACATTGTAGCTGTCCAAAAATAAGAGAGAGAAAGGGACAAAGAGGATATTTGAAGAAATTATGGCTGTAAACTTTTCAAACGTGAGGCAAGACAGGAATAAGAACATTCAAGAAACTCAATGAGCTCCAAGTAAGATAACCTCAAGGCAATCTGCACTGAGATAGATAATAATCAAACTTTTGACAGACAAAGAGAGAATCTTGAAAGCAATGAAAGGGAAATGGCTTGTCATATACAAGGGATACTCAATAAGAATATTAGAGATTTCTCACCAGAGAATTTGGAAGCCAGAAGGCTGTGGACTGATATGTTCAATCTGTGAAAAGTAAAAAGAATGTCAACTAAAAATCTTACACCTGGAAAAACTGTACTTCAAAAGTGAGGGAGAAATTGTAACATTGCCAACAGTACAAAAGCCAGGGTGTTTGTAACCATGAGAACTTTGCTGCAGGAAATTATCAAGGGAGTCTTGCAAGATAAAATGAAAGGTCACTAGACAGTGACTTGAAGCTGTGTGAAGAAGTAAAGATCTCAATAAAGGTAAATACATGAACAATTATAAAAGCTAGTGTTACTGTAACAGGAGTTTATTTCTCCAGTTTTTATACAATTTAAGAGAGCAATACATTGCAAAGATTATTAGTTCAAAGCTAATACAGTTAGCTACAGTTTGTTTTCTACATAATTTAAAAGGCTAATGTATTTTTCAAAAATTGACAGTTTTTGTTTTTGGATACACAATGTATAAAGACATAGTGATGTAACTTCGTGACATCAACAACCAAAAGGGTGAGAATGGGGATGTAAAGAAAGAAAATTATTGCACAATATTTAAGTTAAGCTAATATAAATTCAAATTAGAGTGCTATAACTTTAGGAAGTAAAATATAATCCCCATGGTAACCACAAAGAAAATAGTAGCTGTAGAATATGCATGAAGAGAAATGAGAAACAAATGTAAATGTTTCACTGAAAAAAATCATCTAAACACAAAGAAGACAGTAATGCAGGGGGAAAAAGTGTAAGAAATATGAAAATGAAATAAAAAAATGACAGAATTAAGTTCTTCCTTGTAAGCTCTTAGTTTAAATGTAAATAGATATTAAACTGTCCAATCAAAAGACAGAAATTGGCAGAATGAATTTTAAAAATGATTCAGTTATATGTTATTTGCAAGAGACTCACTTTAGATCCAAAGACATGTATAAATTAAAAGTGATAGGATGGAAAAGATATTCCATGCAAATAGTAACTAAAAGACAGAAAGATTGGCTATATTAATATTAGACAAAATAAACTTCGAGAAAAAGAAGGATATTATATGTTAGCAAAATATTCAATACAGCAAAAAGATATACTACCTATAAACGCTTATGGTCCTAGGAACATACCACCAAAGTTTATGAAGAAAAATGTGGCAGAATTGAAGAGAGAAGTAATGCTTGGAGACCTCAATATCCCACCCTTAATAATAACAAGAACAACCAGATAGGATTAAAAAGGAGAGGACTTGAACAACACAATAAATCAAATAGCTCTCACAGACATATACAGAACTTTCTATCCAATAACAACAGCATATACATTCTTCTGAAGAGGACATGAGACAATTTCCTGTATAGATCATATGTTAGGCCATAAATTATGTCCTAATAAAAAAGGTATCATACAATTATCTTTTCTGACTGTAAGATTGTGAAGTTAGAAATCAATAACAGAAGAAAAACTGGAAAATTTACAAATTTGTTGAAATTGAACATCACACTCTTAAACAACCAATGGATCAAAGAAAAAATCACATGGGAAATTAGAAAATACTTAGAGATTAATGAAAATGAAAATGTAACATACCAAAACTTATATAATGTATTGAAAGCAGTGCTAAATCAATGTAAGAAACTAGCAAAAGAAGAAACTAAACCCAAAACTAGCAGAAGGAAGAAAATTATAAAGATTAGAGCAAAGATAAACAAAATAGAGAATACAAAAACAATGAAGAAAATAAATGAAACCAAAAGTTGCTTATTTGAAAAGATGAACAAAATTGACAAATTTTTGCTTACAGGAACTACGAAAAAAAGACAGAAGACTCAAATTACCAAAATCAGAAATGAAAATGAGGATATTATCACCAATTCTACAGAAATAGAAACATCTAAAAGTGAATACTATGAATTATTGTACATCAACAAATTGATATCCTACATAAAATGGACAATTTCCTAGAAAGAAAAAACCTACTAAATAATAAAGAAACAGAAAATCTGAAAAGACCAAAAGTAAGAAAATAAACAATCTCCTGACAAAGAAAAGCCTTGGACCTGATGGCTTCACTGGTGATTTCTACCAAACATTTAAATAATTAATACCAATCTCTCTCAAACTTTTCCAAAAAATTGAAGAAGAGGAGGTACTTCCTACATCGCTCTATCAGTCAGCATTAGCCTGATACAGAAACTAGACAAGGACATTACAAGGAAAGGAAACTATAGGTCAATATCCTGTATGAATGTTGTTGCAAGAATCCTTAACAAAATACTATTAAATCAAATTAAGAAGAATATTGAAAAGATTACACACCATGACCAAGTGAAATTTATTCCTGAATGTAAGAATGGTGCAACATATGAAAATCAATCAATGTAATACACCATATTAACAGAATGAAGTAACAAAAACAACTCCACATGATTGATCATATCAATTGAGGCGGAAAAAGTATTTGACAAAATGCAACACCCTTTCATGATAAAAGCACTCAATAAACACAGAATAGAAGGAAACTACCTCAATACAATAAAAGTTGTATATGAAAAACCCATGGCAAACAACAAACTTTTCCTCTAAGATCAGGAACTAGGCAAGGATGCCTATTTCACTACTTCTATTAAACATAATACTGAATCTCTTAGCCAGAGAAAGTGGGCAAGAGAAAGAAATAAAAGCAATTCAAACTGGAAAAGCAGAAGTAAAATTATCTCTGTTAACAGGTAATATAATCTTATATGTATAAAACCTTAAGATTCCACAAGAAACTTGTAAAAACTAATAAACATATTTATAAAAGTAGCAGAATGTAAAGGCAACAAAGGAAAATCATATGCATTTCTATATACTAACAAGGAACAGTATGAAAAAACTTAAAAAACAATTCTAAATATAATAGCATTGAAAAAATGTTAGGAATTATTATTAGTCCATTCTCACAATGCTATAAATAACTGCCTGAGACTGAGTAATTTACAAACAAAAAAGGTTTAATTGAGTCACAGTTCCCCATGGCTTGAGAAGCCTCAGGAAACTTACAATAATGGCAGAAGGCAAAAAAAAAAAAAAAAAAGTAAGGCATGTCTTCTCATCTCATGGCAGCTGGAGAGAGAGAGAGAGCGCAAGGGGTGGAATTGCTAAACACTTTTAAAGGATCAGATCTCATGAGAACTCACTCACTATCACGAGAACAGGATGGGGGAAACCACCTACATGATCCAACCACATTTCACCAGGTCTCTCCCTTGACGTGGGGATTACAATTTGAGATGAGATTTGGGTGGGGATACCAAGCCAAACCATATCAGGAATTATCAGGAGGAGAATGACTTGTACAATGAAAACTACAAAACATTGCTGAAATAAATCAAAGACATAAATAAAAACACATCCTGTGTTAATGGATAAGGTTTAATATTGTTAAAATGTCAATACTACCCCCAAACATCTACACATTCAACGCAATTTCTTTCAAAATTCAAATGATGTTTTTGCAGAAATAAAAAAAAAACCTATCCTAAAGTTCATATGGAATCTCAAACAGTAAAGAATACAAAGTGCATTGTTTTGTTTTTATTTGGCAAACTAGAAAATTCACAAATCTATTTTCTTAATAGTGATTGATCTGGTCTGGATCAGCAATAACCCTTGAATACCACTGTTTTCAAAGGGCATTAATCAGCTGATATTCAATTTCATTACATTCCAATGAAAACATGCTCTTCTTTTCTATTTTCTTTACTCAGAGTCTTATCTAACTGTCTTAGGAGTACTAGTCTAGACATTAAAAGAACATCATTCTCCAAAACCATACATTCCTCTTATTCAGCTACTTCTAAAATTTTTCCTGTTGTCAAGATGAATTGTCAAAGGTCTAAGCATGGAAATTACTATTTACACTAGGATGATTTTAACACTGTAGTTGTCAGGTATGGCTACAATGCTGCATGACAAACACCCTCCCTCATCCTAATACCTTATAGCAACTAATATTTATTTTTCTCACTCATAAATCAGTGGGTTATATGGAGTTTTGCTGATCCTGGCTGAATTAGGAAGGACTTGACTCCAGGCTGCACGTCAGGTCTGGGTCTGCTCCACATAGCTCCATCTGGCATTGAATCAGGAGCAAAGAAGACTGGGACAGGCTCCTCTTATACCAGATTATAAAAGCTCAAGAGAAAGAGTGGAAACACAGAATGCCTCTTAAGCCCTCAGCTAGGAACTGGTTCAATGTCAATTCCTCCCCTGTCCTTTTATGAGAGAAATTCACTTGGCCAGGCCCAAAATCAGTTGATCAGGTAAATGTACTCTGACCATAGTGGGAAGCCTTACACAGTCACATGGTAAAGAGCTTGGTGTGTAACTTTATCAAAAAATTGAGAACAATAATCCAACATATTTTTGCCCCGTACGAAGTGATTTAGGTGTATAAAAGGACAATTTCAAATGAGTGTTAAAAACAGGATCTAAAAATTATTCTGGGATAATTGTCTGGGATTGTGCCTAGAATAAATGGATTCGAGGGTAGGGTAGATAATTTAGAGAAAGTTTAGGAGGCATAAATCCACTGGTGCTCAATTCAAGACCCAGTTCAACCATGCGTGTGGGTGATGTTAGGCTGTTTCCATAATCTTTCTGGATTAATTTTCTTAAATTGTGAAAAACATGCAATAACACTTACCCTGCTTATGAGGAAAATATGAGATAATGTACTTGGCCATACTTGGCAAAATCTAAAATGCAAAAAAGGAGTTTGATATGATTATCAATTTCATTTAGTTATTTCAAAGTTGTGATTTGAAATTACATAACTGTATAGTTGAGTATGCCATATTTTTACTTCTGGCTTGTTGCAAGAATGACAGATTAAAAAAAAGATTAATAAGCCCATGAAAACTTCAGATGCTTAATGCAGAGGTCACAAACTCATGACCTATAGACCATATCTGCTTTGGTTTGGCCCACAGTGTATTTTGCAAACATCTGTATTGATTTTCAATTTTAAGAAATTGGGAGATTTCTCACTGAAATCACAATTTTTAGCTTCTTTTGAAGCATCAGAAGATTAAGCACCATAGACCTACATGCCCACATGGCAACAATCTTCTACAGCTATACAGCAACGTCTTCTTTAAGGGGTAGAAACTCTCCAAGTCCCCACATTTTCCATTACCTCTTACTGTACTACCCTTACCCACTTAATTCATTTCCATTATCTTTTGGGATCCTTTAAACATGGCTACTATTTAATATGCGTAGCTATAAAAGCCAAGAACCAATCAGAAAGAACATCAGTCATAAGGTGCTGAAACAGTGTTGTGGGGCACATCCCACTGTGATGCCAGGCAGTAGCCCTTCAGGTGCTGGCATATGGGAAAATTCAGAGGCTTTTGGGGATGAGGCCACAGTGGCCACAATGGTGATGGGGACACTCTTGCAGCTCAGGAGATCATTATTAAGCCATACAAAAGTATTTCAGGCTGGGCGCAGTGGCTCACGCCTGTAATCCCAGCACTTTGGGAGGCCGAGGTGGGTGGAACACTTGAGGTCAGGAGTTCGAGAGCAGCCTGGCCAATATGGTGAAACCCTGTCTCTACTAAAAATAAGCCGGGTGTGGTGGTGCACACCTGTAATCCCAGCTACTCAGGAGGCTGACGTATGAGAATCGCTTGAACCTGGGAGGCGGAGGTTACAGTGAGCTAAGATAGAGACACTGCACTCCAGCCTTGGTGACAGAATGAGACTCTGTCTCAAAAAAAAAAAAAAAGACAGATCGAAAGAAAAAAGAAAAAAATGTATTTCAACATTTTAGTAATAGGCATACACCTGTTGTACATATCCTTGAGTATCAGACCTATTGTAAAATTTGCATTTTTATTCTAAAAGACAAAGATATGGATTAGGTATATAAATTATTAACAACCTAAGTTCAGAAAACTTGACCAAGTTCCTTGGGAGTATGGCTAGAATATAGAGGACCAAAAGAAATAATTGCTTATTCTGGGAAGGCTGTTAGTTTCTTGTGTTACGTCAGTGCTCTTCTTTTGTCTGTTTTAGGACAGTCTTTCAGTCATGCATTAAATGAGTTTCTTCTTGGACCTCAGAATTCATTGGCTCTCCTCTGACTGGTCTGTCTCAGACTGGCCCTCTTGTTGTTAGGAGTTTAGGCGGTGTCAACAAGATGTAGGTGCTGAGAAAACTGCCTGACTGCTGTTGATCTTTTACAGATAAGATATCCCCAATCTATGATGTCTCTTAATGAAATACAATGGGTTTAGCACTGGAATTTATAGCTCCTTTCTGATGTTCTCCATGTAATATACGTTTCTGGGGTATAAGTTGTTTAAGCTTCTCATCCATAAAAAAAGGTAAGTATGCTATTTCATTTATGAGAAAGAATATTTTTCCCATGATCATCTTGAAGATTTTGTGCTTGTGGCAGGAGAAATGAGGTTTTTAAAAATGTCAATTTTATGATTCTTCAAATAGCATATTTCTCTGAGGTTTCCATTTTTAGAGTGGAATGTGCCATTTAAACAGAATAGTCTATTTTATGGTGAAAAAATTCTGATGTCACAGTGAAAAAAAAAAGAGCAATAATTCAATAGTGTAGTGTGACATACACCAGAGAAGATAGAATAGGGTGGCTTGGGGAGCCTGAAGCTATACCTATAGTCATTTATCACTTCATATTCCTCAAACTAGGCACCAAAATACTGATGATTTGCTCTCTTGAGAACTGCACAGCTTCAGGGCACCAAGCTCAATCTGCCTTTGTAGGGGAAGATGCACTTGGAATATTTATCTGGGAGCCCCTTAAAGTATAAAGCTTGGGATATTTTCTTGAAAATTACGGTGAAGCATCTGGGCAATGTGATGTGTACTGCATTGATTTAAGGCTCCATGAAATCAAGGAAATTAGCTGGCAGATTAAATCCACCACTCCAGATTTTTTTGAAAAAAATAGTTACAGTGTGTTTCTTGAAACTGCAATAGGCCGTAAAAAGATTTGATGCTGGTTTACTTACTTCGCTAGCACAAATTCACTATGAGTAGTTATATCTGGGATAATTCTCCATATTTCTGAAGAGTCTTTATGGCATGCTGTAAAAGATGTAAAATCAATAAGTAACTCTAAAAATCTGTCCATACTTCATATTTCCTCATATTTTTCTCTTTTCTCTTTCTCTAACCTCTGTCTTCTTTCCACTTTCCCTTACAATCTTTCTTTTCCTCTCACTTATTTATTACCTATTTCTTAAACTCCTTTGGTTGTTATTGAACAGGATTTTAAACAATTGGAAGTGAAATGAAGTTGCAGGACCATGCAGAGAAGTGAAGTGAAAAAACACATCATTATGAAATGTCAAACAGGTTGTGTTATTTCATCCTCAAAAATTTACATGGAAGATACTATTATTATTATTGTTATTATCATTATTATATTTATCAGTTGAAGAAACTGAAGTTAAAAGGCTCAACCCTGGTATTTGTACTCAAGTCTACGTTACATTAAACTCCCTTTAATTTTATTTCTTTCCTGGAAAGAAATTAGATGAGAAAAATCTTTCTTTATTTCCTGTGATCTTTCTTCTACCTTTTCAATCTACACTTCTCTTCTGTTTCCACTTGGCCTTTCTTAACTCCTAGGCTAAGTAGGATAGAGAAATAAATCTTATGCTTAGTAGGGCGACAAGGATCTCCTATGTAAATATAAAATGAGTGAACTGTGGGATGTTGTAACACTTTACTCCAGAGAGAAAAGAGTACACAAATCTATTTCCAAAATAATTTTAGGATTAATTGGATAAACTTACTGGTGAGCATCTACCATGAGTAAGATACACTATTGGGAATACGAAGATAGAAGAGTAAGATAGAATTTGTCTCATTAGGGAGTACCTTCACGTAGAGAAACACTTATAGAAATCCTAGCCTATAATGAAAGGCCAATTAAAATAGACATTGGAGATACAATGAATGCATTGGAGAAGCACAGAGAAGAGGGGAGATTCATTGTCATGGGAGTTCATTGGTGTTCATTTGTCAAATATGTGGCATTTGAAATTTCCCTTGAAAGAGAAGAAATTTGATAGGAGGTAAAGATGAATATCCATATCTCCAATTGAGAAGACAGCATAAAATAGAAAATATGAGAAGTTGTTTGGCTCTGGCTTGAAAATAGTAGGGTTTGTAAATGACATAAGGGAAGATACTACTGTAAAAATAGATTGAGATCAGATTTTGAAAAGCCATATGTAGCCTGTGTTTTATTTAATAAACAAGTAGGAATTGGTATATAATGTTTAATTTTGGGAAAAACACAATTTGACCTGTGCTGAAATACTTCTAATACTGTATAAAACATGTACTAGGGAGAGTCTATGGGCACAGTGATGAGTTAGAAGGCTCTTGTGGTTATGTGGGTAAGAGATGAGAGATAATATGTTAGCAATCCATTGCTGGACAACAGACCAGTTCAAAATTTAGTGGTTTGAAACAGCAAAGCTTTATTTTTTTATTTCCATAGGTTTGTGGAAAACAGGTGTATTTGGTTACATGAATAAGTTTTTTAGTGGTGATTTGTGAGATTTTGGTGCACCCATCACCCAAGAAGTATACACTGAACCTAATTTGTAGCCTTTTATCCCTCAGTATGTTCCCACCCTTTCCGCCCATGTCCCCTAGGTCCATTGTATCATTCTTACGACTTTGCATCCTCATAGCTTAGCTCCCACTTATAAGTGAGAAGATACAATATTTGGTTTTCCATTCCTGAGTAACTTCACTTAGAATAATAGCCTTCAATCCCATCCAGGTTCCTGCAAATGCCATTAATTCATTACTTTTTATGGCTGAGTAGTATTCCATTGCGTGTATATATAAACATATATATTACAGTTTCCTAATGGGCCTTTGGGCTGGTTCCATATTTTTGCAATTGCAAACTGTGCTGCTATGAACATGCATGTGCAAGTATCTTTTTCGTATAATGACTTCTTTTTCTCTAGATACCCAGTAGTAGGATTGCTGGATCAAATGATAGTTCTACTTTTAGTTCCTTAAGGAATCTCCACATTGTTTTCCATAGTGGTTGTACTAGTTTACATTCCCACCAGCAGTGTAAAAGTGTTCCCTTTTCACTGCATCCAGGCCAATATCTATTATTTTTTGATTTTTTGATTATGGCTGTTCTTGCAGGAGTAAGGTGGTATTGCATCGTGGTTTTGATTTGCATCTCCCTGATCATTAGTGATGTTGAGCATTTTTTTCATGTGTTTGTTGGCCATTTGTATATCCTCTTTTGAGAATTGTCTATTCATGAACTTAGCCTATTTTTTGATGGAATTGTTTGTTTTTTTTCTTGCTAATTTGAGTTCCTTATAGATTCTGAATATTAGTACTTTGTTGGATATATAGATTGTGGAGATTTTCTTCCTCTCTGGGTTATCTGTTTACTCTGCTGACTGTTCCTTTTGCTGTGCAGAAGCTCATCAGATTAATTAAGTCCCATCAATTTATCTTTGTTTTGTTGTATTTGTTTTTTGGATCTTGGTCATGAAATCTTTGCCAAAGTCGATGTCTGGAAGGGTTTTTCTGACGTTATCTTCTAGAATGTTTATAGTTTCAGGTCTTAGATTTAAGTCTTTCATACATCCTGAGTTGATTTTTGTATAAGGTGAGAGATGAGAATCCAGTTTTAATCTCTTACTTGTGGCTTACCAGTTATCTCAGCACCATTTGTTGAATAGGGTGCCCTTTCCCTACTTTATGTTTTTGTTTGCTTTGTCAAAGATCAGTTGGCTGTAAGTATTTGGCTTTATTTCTGGGTTCTCTTCTGTTTCATTGGTCTATGTGCCTATTTTTATACAAGTACCATGCTGTTTTAGTGACTATGGTCTTATAGTATAGTTTGAAATCCGGTAATGTGATGCCTCCAGATTTGTTCTTTTTGCTTAGTGTTGCTTTAGCTATGTGAGCTCTTTTTTAGTTCCATATGAATTTTAGGATTTTTTTTCTAGTTCTGTAAAGAATGATGGTGGTATTTTGATGGGAATTGCATTGAATTTGTAGATTGCTTTTGGCAGTATAGTCATTTTTACAATATTGATTTGATCATCCCATCCATGAGCATGAGATGTGTTTCCCTTTGTTTGTGTTGTCTATGATTTCTTTCAGCAGTGTTTTGTAGTTTTCCCTATAAAGGTCTTTCACCTCCTTGGTTAGGTATATTCCTAAATATTTTAATTTGTGTTATTTTTGCAGCCATTGTAAAAGGGGTTGAGTTCTTGATTTGATTCTCAGCTTGGTCACTGTTGGTATATAGCAGAGCTACTGATTTGTGTATATTAATTTTATGTACATTAATTTTGCTGTATTCATTTATCAGTTCTAGGAGCTTTTTGGAGAAGTCTTTAGAGTTTTCTGGTTATACCATCATATCATCAGCAAACAGCGATGATTCTTTTCTTCCTCTTTTCTTCAGTAAAGAGGAAGTCAAACGTTATTTCTTTCTCTTGTCTGATTGCCCTTTATTTCTTTCTCTTGTCTGATTGCTCTGGCTAGGGCTTCCAGTACTCTGTTGAAAAGAAGTAGTGAGAGTGGGCATCCTTGTCTTGTTCCATTTCTCAGAGAGAATGCTTTCAACTTTTCCTTGTTCAGTAGTTCAGTATTATGTTGGCTGTGGGTTTGTCATTGATGGCTTTTATTACACTGAGGTATGTTCCTTGTATACTGATTTTGCTGAGGTTTTTAATTATAAAGAGATGCTGGATTTTGTCAAATGCTTTTTCTGCATCTATTGAAATGACCATGTGATTTTTGTTTTTCATTCTGTTTATGTGGTGTATTACATTTATTGACTTGCATATGTTAAACCATCCCTGTATCCCTGGTATGAAACCCACTTGATCATGATGGATTATCTTTTTGATACACTGCTAGATTTTGTTAGTTAGTATTTTGTTAAGGATTTTTTCATCTATATTCATCAGGGATATTGGCCTGTAGTTTTCTTTTTTTGTTATGTCCTTTCCTGGTTTTGATATTAGGTAGATATTGACTTCATAGAACGACTTAGGGAGGATTTCCTCTTTCTTTATCTTGTGGAATAGTGTCAATAGGATTGGTACCGATTCTTCTTTGAATGTCTGATAGAATTCAACTGTGAATCCATCTAGTCCTAGGCTATTTTTTTGTTGGTTTTTTTTTTATTACCATTTCAATCTCACTGCTTGTTATTGGTCTGTTCAGGATTTCTAATTCTTCCTGATTTAAGCTAGGAGGACTGTATCTTTCCAGGAATCTATTAATCTCTTCTAGGTTTTCTAGTTTATGAATGTAAAGGTGTTCATAGTAGCCTTGAATATTTTATTGTATTTCTGTGGTGTCAGTTGCAATATCTCCCATTTTATTTCTAATTGAGCTTATTTGGATCTTCTCTCTTCTTTTCTTGGTTAGTCATGCTAATGCTCCATCAATTTTATTTATTTTTTCAGATAACCAGATTTTTATTTCACTTATCTTTTACAGTTTTTTTGTTTCAATTTCATTTAGTTCTCCTCTGATCTTGGTTATTTTCTTTCTTCTGCTGGATTTTGATTTGGTCTGTTCTTGTTTCCATTATTCCTTGAGGTGTGACCTTATATTGTGTATTTGTGCTCTTTCAGACTTTTCAATGAAGGCATTTGAGGCTATGAACTATCCTCTTAGCACCACCTTTGCTGTGTCCTGGAGGCTTTGATAGGTTGTGCCACTGTTATTATTCACTTCAAAAAATTTTTCAATTTTCATTTTGATTTCATTGTTGACCCAGTGATCATTCAGGATCATGGTATTTAATTTCCATGTATTTGCATGGTTTTGAAGGTTCCCTTTGGAGTTGATTTCCAATTTTATTCCACTGTGGTCTGAGAGAGCACTTATATAATCTCAATTTTCTTGAATTTATTGAGACTTGTTTTGTGGTCTGTCATATGATCTGTCTTGGAGAAAGTTCCATACACTGATGAATATAATGTATATTCTGTGGTTGTTGGGTAGAATGTTCTGTAAATATCTGTTAAGTCAATTTGTTCAAGGGTATGGTTTAAATCCATTGTTTCTTTGCTGACTTTCTTTTTTGACGACCTGTCCTGTGCTGTCAGTGGAGTATTGAAGTCCCCCACTATTATTGTGTTGCTGTCTATCTCATTTCTTAGGTCTAGCAGTAATTATTTTATAAATGTGGGACCTCCAGTGTTAGGTGCATATATATTTAGCAGTGTGATATTTTACTGTTAGACAAGGTCTTTTTATCATTATATATAATGTCCCTCTTTGTCTTTTTTAACTTCTGTTTCTTTAAGGTTTGTTTTGTCTGATATAAGAACAGCTACTCCTTTCACCTTTGGTGTCCATTTGCATGGAATGTCTTTTTCCACCCCTTTACCTTAAGTTTATGTGAGTCCTTACGCGTTAAGTAAGTCTCTTGAAGCAGCAGATACTTGGTTGGTGAATTCTTATCCATTCTGCAATTCTGTATATTTTAAGTGAGGCATTTAGGCAACAATAAATATTTATTATCTCACAGTTTCCATGGGTCAGGAATCCTGGTATGATTAAGCCAGGTGCTTCTGTCTCAAGATCTTTAATGAGACTGAAATCAGGTTGTTGGCCTGGGCTGCAATCATTGCAAGACTTAGGGAGGATCCACTTCCAATTTCATTTGCAGGGCTGTTCATAGGCCTCAGGTCCTTGGTGGCCTCTGTTCCTTGCCATGTGACTTTCTCCATAGAGTGACTCACAACATGGCTGCTAACTTTCCTCAGAGCAAGAGAGGGTATCCAGAGAGGAAGCTTATTTTTTGTAAGCTAATCTTGAAAGTGATCTTTTATCAATTTTGCCATATTATTTTTATTAGAAGCTATTTACCAGGTCCCGCCCACATTTTAAGAGGAGGAGATAACACAAAGATATGAATGCCAGTAGGCAGGGGGCATTGAGGCCATCTTTGAGGCTGCCTAAAATATAGAACTATTAGAGGTGAGTTATGTCTCCCCCCCAATTCATATGTTGAAGTTCTAACCTCCAGTACCTCAGAATGTGACTATATTTGTAGATAGGGCTTCAAAAGTGTTAATTAAGGTAAAATGAGGTCATATGAGTGAGCCCTAATTCAACATGATGTGTGTCTTTATAAGGAGAGGAAATTAGGACACAGACATGCACAGAGGGAACACCATGTGAAATATAGGGAGAAGATAGCCATTGAATAGCCAAGGGGGGAGGACTTAGACTCAGAATAATAACAACTCTGCAAATACCTTGCTCTCGAACTTCCAGCCTCCAGAACTGTGAGGAAATAAATTTCTGTTGTTTAAGCTCCTCTCCCCACCCCTCCATCTGTAATATTGTGTTCTGGCAGCCCTACCAAACTAATACAAGGATGAAGGTCTAAACCTGGGCAGGCAGAGGGGAATGGAATGGAAGAGGGAAGGTTATAAGAAACATTCAACAATTGCACTGCTGGTTCCTGGAAAAAGAAGTGTTAACTCTAAGTAAGAGAAAGGGATGTTTTAGTACAAATCAAGTTAAACAAAACTAATTTTCTTTGGTTATTCATTTACTTCTTTATTTGATATGGGAAACAGAACAGATAGAGCAGATTCAATATAACTTAATTTCAGCTACACATTCAACAATATTTTCTGTCACAGGATGGCCCCACAGAAGCCCCAGAAGCAGATGCTGACACAGAATTTGAGGTGCAAGATGAAAGGGTTGGCTGGGCACAGTGGCTCAAGCCTGTAATCTAAGCATTTTGGAAGGCCAAGTTGGGAGGATTGCCTCAGTCCAGGAGTTTGACATGAGCCTGGGCAACATGGTGAGACCCCCATCTCTACAAAAACTATAAAAATTAGCTGAACATGGTAGCCAGGCACCTGTAGTGCCAGCTACTCAGAAGCTGAGGTGAGAGAGGTTGTATCCCTGGACGGAGGTTGAGGCTACAGTGAGCTGTGAATGTGCCACTGCATTCCTGTCTGGGCCACAGAGTAAGACTCTGTCTCGATAAACAAACAAACAAACAAACAAAAAAGACCTCAAAAAGATGTAGGGATCAACATATGTGAAAGAGAGAGAAAGCAAGACTGGGTAGAGGGAGAGGCCAAACTGTAATGCAGGACTTCTAACATCAGAAGCTCTGGAAAAAGTATTGCTTGTTAAATTATCCCACATTGAACCAAAATGGCTAGACCTAAATAATCTCCAACGTCCAGTCACTTCATGTAGGCTGTCCTGGAAGGGCATGACCATGGCAAGGTGGCTTTGCAGCTGAGGCAAACCCTGGAGGAGTTGAAAGTTGGAGGTATCTGCAGTCTACTGACTGCTCCCCTTGTGGCTGGGCAGCAAGTCCATCTTTGAAGGTGATTGAGTGATAGGTTTCCAGTTTTATCAAACCTTCCAGATGAAATACATATTATGAAATAGCATGGTAACCTGAACTCAAAACTAGGCTACGTGTAAAAATATCACCAGCCATTGTATTTAAAAAGTTGATTATGTGCTAGTCATGATGCTGTCATCTATAACATCATTTTATTTATTTTTCAAATGAGCATATCTTCTTTTTATTTCCATTATGCAGGTAAAAGACATTAGTATTTAGATAAGTTGAAGTTACTCCCTCAATGTCTTGCCATAGGTAGAAGGCCCAGGAATAAAATTTGTTTCCCTTGACTCTGGAACCTATAACTTAACTACTAATTTATACTCCATGTTGATGAATAGATGGTGTCAAACATGAAGTGTTTCTTAAGGGATGTGCTGGAGGATTTTTTTTCACATATCTTTACTTTGGGATAGCACTTTCAATGACTGGATGAAGGCATAACAGACATGCTTGTCAAATCTGTAGATAAAAAAAGCTAAGAAGGATAAAAAATACTTTGGACACAAAAATCAAAGATATTCCTAGACTGCAGTGATGTTCAAAATTATCAGGACGAAATTTAGAAGGGATACACATTATATTTTACACTTGGGTTTAGAATTTTCCTGCACGAATTCTCAGTGTCGGAAACCTAACTTAACGGTGATTCATGTGAGAAAAAAACCCTTAGGGGATTTAACTGACTCTAAGGCAACTCAGTAAGTGGAAAAAAGATTAAGCTTGAATATCAGCTGTACCTGAATTTGGGTCCTGGTTCCAATACTTACACATGGCTGGATACTTTGACTTTCTGAGTTGGTATTATTAATCTAAAATGAGAATAGTGATATTATTTGCCTTGACTACTTTAGAGGTTTCTTAAGACTATTTTGTGAAAAAATAAACAAGTAAAAAGAGCTGTATAAACTGTTGTATAGCACCTAAAAGTCAAATCTTTACCACTATTTTATCATCTCACGTCAGACACAGTAGGTAGGCAATATGAAGTATGAACTTAGAGCAGGTGTTCTAGAATACACCTGATTTTCACTGGGCAACATTCATGTCAGTTCTTTCTTCAAGTGTTTTGGGGTCTGGCTTTTGTTGAGAGCATTATTTCAAATGGTAGACTTGAAAAAAATCAACATCCCAGTAATAGTTGTATTTATATTATTTAGATAACTTTTTGTGGAAATCCACTAAGAGAAAGAATAGCTACATATTCCAGAAAGACTGAAAGGGGCAAAAACATTGATTATAACAAATTTCACTCTCAGAAAATCTGCGGATAATGTTTAAGTTTACTTCCCACAAAAGACTCTCTGAGTATGAAATTTATTATAACCAATTTTTCTTTGCTCCTCTCAGTTTAGGGGAATCTGTAGCTATTCTCTCTCAGTAGATTTTTACAGAATGTTCTTCTAAATAGAGAAAGAATAAGGAAACAACTAGCATTAAGTGTCAATTATGTATTAATCACTTCTCTACAATATTCTACAAATATTTTGTCTCATCATTGTCCTCAATTTGAAGTTAGAAGAACTGAGGCTTTGTTTAAATAAATATTTTATAAATAGATAAATTATTCAGGTGGTAACTAGAGGAGATGGATTGGAATCTAGGCTTCTGTCTCCAAAGCTCTGCTTTGAACATCCTTCCATGCGCATCATGAAGACAACACTGAGAAAAGTGCTTTTAACTCATTGTGCTCTGTGTTCACGTCACCTGTGCCACACTGTCAGGGAAAGTAGACAGTTTCACAGAAACTCACAGAAGGATTGGCAAAGATAGTGATGACAGTTCTTGTTTTGAGCAATAACTTCTTCTATGGAATAAGATGAGGTTTTAAAGGCATATGATCATCCCTACTCCTGTCCTTCTTATAACTGTGACCTCCGTGAGATTCCAGAGACCAGTCAAGCTTTAACATTAAGTAGATTTTATGGAGGCCATAAATCATTCAAACAGCTGGTGAAATATCTCAAGTTCAGCCTCAAGAAGTCAACTGTGATAACTATTGACATAAGTTAAAGGTCCTCTGGGACCCTTCAAATTGCAACAATATTCACCAGACCCTCTCAGTTTAGCCTTTTACCGACACCATAGTAACACATTCTAGAACAAAACAGTGGAGTCAGTTTGGGGTTAGGGTTTATTAGCAGATGTAGAGGAACTTGCCTTCATGTTCTACCTGCATTCCCAGTTCAGAGCTCCAGGGCCTCTTCCAGTGAATTGCAAGCCTTTAGATCATGGGCCAATCAGCATTTAAACTTCCTTGCATGGAAGTGAGCACCACTGACCCTTACCTACCAAGAATATTGCTTATATCTATAGAAACTCACCCCAACAAACCACCAAGAGTACATTAAATCCTAAGAGCCCCAGCTCAGACTCTCAGGCTATACCCTAATCATGAAAGGACTGTAAAATGCTATAAGATAAGAGGGAATGTGTGATGACACCGAATGGCATTATCTATAGGTAGAGAAATGCATTCCTACTAGTGAGCTATAAAAGCACTCTCCTGAGCTACAAAGGAAGGAAATTTAATGCTAGGCAAGTTTGAAATATTTCCTAATTTCAGACCTCAGTTCTTTACTCTGGGTACCCAGACAGCCCACACTTTCCCATATAATATTTGTGAAAGTGCTCTGCAAATGTGATGTGCTATTTAAAATTTTTGAGTTGTTACCATTTTCTTTATTACCATACCTTTGGCCAGGAGCAGAGCAGTGTGATATTTGAGTTGGACTCCACCAAGAGAAAGAGAGCATTCTTCTTTGATTGACTCAAAAAATCCTCTGAAAGAGGTTAATGGTGGAAGTGAAAAGCATCATTCTACAACCCGGGGGACATTCTTGGCATATCACATAATTGAACCCTGGGGAGTAAAACAGGCGTAACTCAGATCCCCTTACCTGCTTCTAAGGAATTTGGTGCCAACAAATGTGGCTTAATAGAATGAACAAACCAACTAAGAGTTGTTCTGATTCTAAATTATTACTTGATCCACCAGCATATACTACGCTCTTAAGCCATGTTTAAAAAATTTTATATAGCAGCAAGCTTCTGTTTTGACATAATGAAACTCTGACATATGGAGAGCATAAAGAGAATTAGGAATTAACCTTTTCAAACCTGAAAATCAGCCAAGATGAAGTTACCTCAATGACGCATAAGAGGCCTTTGAAATTCTTCCCTCTTTCCATGTAAGGTAATTAATCAGAGCCCGACTAATCAGAACATTTGAGAAAACAGAATCTCCTCACAGTCTTTACTCTTGTTGAATAAAAAGACAAATAATGGGAATTTGACTAGTTAGGTTAATTTCCTTTCATAATGGTCCCAGTAAGAAAATCTGAATTTCAGGATAAAAAATGAATTAATGACACAACAAATTTTCCAGACTCTGCTCTTGATTCAACAGAATCACTACCCCTCCACGCAGCCCATTCAATAGCTGGGCACTTAGCAATGCCATCAAATGCTGAAATACAATCTATCTCCTTTGAAAACTTATCTTTGGCACCGTAATTATGCCATCTTCTCTCCGGTGTTATAAACCCTGCTCAGGCTTTAGTGCCCGTTTGTCTACTGACATTGCTCATTTCAAGATCACCAGTGACCACCACATAGCCAAATACAATGGGCAATTTTATTAGTTTCCTAGAGTTGAAACAACAAAGTACCACAAACTGGGTGGCTTAAACAGCATTAATTTATTTTCTCACTATTCTAGAGGTTAGAAGTCTGAGATCATGGCATTGGCAGGGTTGGTTTCTTCTGAGGCTTCTCTCCTTGGCTTGTAGAGGGCTGCCTTCCTGTGTCTTCATGTGATATTTCCCTTTGTACTTGTTTGTGTCCATATTTCCTCCTTGCATAAGGACATTAGTCAGATTGAATGAGGATGTAGCCTAATTACCTCATTTTAACATAATCACCTCTTTAAAGACCCTATCTCTAAATATAATCACATTTTGAGGTACTGAAGTTTGGGTCTCATTTGCTAAATCCTCCATCTTTGCAATCTCTGAAACCTTAGAGTGCTCCAGGGCACTTTAATCAATTCTGTCTATACTTACATCATAGGTGATCTCATTTGGTCCCAGAAATTAAAAACTATATATAAGAATGGCTCTCACATGTATACATGTAGTACCCTCTATCTGTGCTTTCAAGTTCCATGGTTTCAATTAATCACTGTATAGCATGATAAGATATTTTGAGAGACAGAGCACATTCATATAACCTTTATTACAGCATATTGTTATAATTGTTCTATTTTATTATTAGTTATTGCTGTTAATCTTTTACTGTGCCTAATTTATAAATTAAACTTTATCATAGTTATGCATGCATAGGAAAAAAAACATACATACAGGGTTTGGTACTGTCTGTGGTTTTGGGCATCCACTGGGAGTCTTGGAATGTATCCCCTACAGTTAGTGGAAGACACCATTAACTCCAAGGCAAGACTTTTTCCCTGGTACTGATATATCTAATGCATATGTCTAACTGCCTACTTAACTTATTCCAAATCAAATTTCTGATATAACTCCCACCTCAAACTTGCTACTTATGCTTCTTCCCCATGACAGTAAGTGACATTTCTCCTTACCTGCAACTTAGGCCAACATTTTGGAGCCATCCTCAATTTAATTATTTCTGTTATGTCTCACATCAATTCCAACACAGCTTTATCTTCAAAGTATATCCAGAATGCATTTGCTTCCTACCTCCTCTACCATTACTCCTTATGCAAACGTTTCTTACTGGGAAAATAGCTCTAGCATCCAACTCATCTCCTTGATTTGACTATAAACCTCCCTTACAATCTATTCTCCACACAGCAATTACAGTGATTCTTTACAAACCCATTGGATAATATGACTTCTCTTTTTAAACATTCCTATGGCTTCCTGTCATACAGATAAAAACCTAAAGTCTTTAACATGGTTTACAGTTCCCTGTGTGGTCTGTTTCCTACTATTCTCCCCCTTGTTTTTTCTAATCTGTCTTCACTGTGCTGGGCCTCTGAGCTGTTTCTTAAACATACCAACAGTACTGCCTTCTCAGGCCTTTGCATTTGCATTTCATTGCTCCTCCCCTGGTCTGAAAAGCCTTTGCCCTGGACACCTACCTTGCTCCCTTTCTCACTTTATTCCAGTTGCTGATCAAATATCATCTCAACAAGTAGGCCTTTCATTACCTCACATTTAAAGTAGGCTTTCTATCTCTCTCTTTCTCCATATTCTTCCTATTTATTTATTTATTTATATTTCCATGGCTTTAGGAGTACACATGGTTTTTAGTTACATGGATGATGAAATCTGAAATTTTAGTATCCTGTCATCTGAATAGGTAAATAGTACCCAATATGTAGTTTTTAATCCCTCATCCTCCTCCCACCCTCCTCCCTTTTAAGTTTCTAATGTCCATTAGACCACTACGTATGCCTTTGTGTACCCATTGCTTAGCTTCCACTTATAAGTGAGATCCTGTGGCATTTGGTTTTTCATTCTTGAGTTCCTTCACTTAGAATAATGGCCTCTGGTTCCATACGAGTTACTGCAAAAGACATTATTTCATTTATTTTTATGGCTGAGTAGTATTCCATGGTGCATATATATATATATATATATATATATGTATATATGTATACACGTGCACACATATATGTGTGTGTATATATGTATATGTATCCATATATGTACATATGCATATATATTTATATATATATCTACATATATACGTGTGTGTATATATATATTATGTGTGTGTGTATATATATATATATACACACCACATTTTCTGTATCCACTCATTGGTTGTTGGGCAGTTAAGTTGGTTCCATGTCTTTGCAACTGTGAATCGTCCTGCAATAAACATACACGTGCAGGTGTCTTTTTGATATTATGACTTCTTTTCCTTTGGGTGTATACCAAGTAGCAGAATTGCTGGATCAAATGATAGATATACTTTTTGTTCTTTGAGAAATTTCCATTCTGTTTTTCATAGAGTTTTTAGTAATTTACATTCCTACCAGTAATGTATAAAAGCATACATTTTTACCACATCCACACCAATGTTTATTGTTTTTTGACTTTTTAATAATGACTATTCTGGCTGGGGTAAGGTGTTACCACATTACGGTTTTAATTTGCATTTGCCTGATGATTAGTGGTGTAGAACTTTTTTTCACATGTTTGTTGGCCATTTGCATATCTTCTTTTGAGAAACGTCTATTCATGTCATTTGTTCACTTTTTAATGGGATTATTGTTTTTTCTTGCTGATTTGTTTGAGTTCCTCATAGATTCTGGATATTAGTCCTTTGTCAGTTGCATAGTTTTCAAATATTTCCTCCCTTTCTGTGGGTTGTCTGTGTACTCTGATGGTTCTTTCTTTGGCTGTACAGAAGCTTTTTAGTTTACTTAAGTCCCATCGGTTTATTTTTTTGTTTTGTTGTATTTGCTTTTGTGGTCATAGTCATAAATTCTTTGCCTAGGCAAATGTCCAGAAGAATTTTTTCTAGGTTTTATTTTACAGAATTTTTATAGTTTCAGGTCTTAGATTTAAGTCTCTAATCCATCTGGAGTTGATATTTGTATGTGGTGAGAGACAGAGATCCAGTTTCATTCCTCTACAAATTTATGTTTTTATATGTTTTGTCAAAGATAACTTGATTATAAGTATTTGGCTTTATTTCTGGGTTCTCAATTCTGTTACATTGGCCTATGTGTCTACTTTTATGCCACTACCATACTATTTTGGTTGCTATAGGCTTGTAGTATTATTTGAAGTCAACCAATGTTTGACTCCTCCAGATTTGTTTTATTGTTTGTTCATTTGTTTTGTTTTGTTTTTGTTTTTGAGTCAGAGTCTCACTCTGTTCCCTGGGTTGGAGTGCAGTGGCACAATCTTGGCTCACTGCAGTCTCCACCTTCTGGGTTCAACTGATTCTCCAGGCTCAGCCTCCTGAGTATCTGACATTACAGGTGCCCACCAGCTGGCTAATTTTTGTAATTTTAGTAGAGATGGGGTTTCACCATGTTGACCAGGGGTTCAAACTCCTGACCTCATGTGATCTGCCTGCCTCTGCCTCTCAAAGTGCTGGGATTACAGGCATGAGCCAGTGTGCCTCGCCCAGATTCGTTCTTTTTGATTAGGATTGCTTTGGCTATTGAGGTTTTTTTTTTTTTTCTGTTACAAATGAATGTTAGGATTTTTTTTTCTAACTCAGTGAAAAATGATGTTGATATTTTGATAGGAATTGCATTGAAATCTGTAGATTTCTTTGGACAGCATGGTCATTTTCATATGGATTCTTCAAATTCGTGATTATGGAATGTGCTTCCATTTGTGTCATCCACGTTTTCTTTCAGAAGTGTTTTGTAGTTCTTGTAGAGATCTTTCACTTTCTTGGTTAAAAAGTATATTCCTAGTTGTTTTTTTCTCCAGCTATTGTAAAAGGATTTGAGTTCCTGATTTGATTCTCAGCTTGGTTGGTGTTGGTGTATAGTGCTGCTACTGATTTGTGTACATTGATTTTGTAACATGAGACTTTATTGAATTCATTTATCAAATGTAGGATTCCTTTGGAGGAGTCTTTAGGGTTTTCTAGGCATACCATCATGTTATTGCCAAACAGAGATAGTTTAACCTTCTCTTTTCCAATCTGTATGCTCTTTATTTCTTTCTCTTGCCTGATTGGTTGGGCTAGAACTTCAGTAATATGTAGAATAGAAATGGTGGAAATGGGCATCCTTGTCTTGTTCCAGTTCTAAGGGGGAATGCTTTCAACTTTTTCCCATTCTGTATTATGTTGGCTGTGGGTTTGTTAGGGCTTTTATTATTTTAAAGTATGTTCCTTCTATGCCTAGTTTGTTGAGAGTTTTTATCACAAAGCAAAGATGAAATTTATCAAATGCCCTTTCTGCATCTATTGAGATGATCCCATGGCTTTTGTTTTTAATTCTGTTTATGTGATGAATCACATTTATTGACTTGTGTCTGTTGAATCATCCCTGCATCCCTGGGATTAAAACCACTTGATAATGGTAAATATTTTTTGATATGCTATTGGATTACTTTGCTAGTATTTTGTTGAGAATTTTTGCACCTATTTTCATCAGGGATATTGGTCTGCAGTTTTCTTTTTCTGTTATGTCCTTGACTGGTTTTGGTATCAGGGTGACACTGGATCCATAGAATAAGTTAGGGAGGATTCCCTCTTTCTCAATCTTTTGGAATAATTTGAGTAGAATTGATACCAATTCTTCTTTGAACATCTGGTAGAATTCAGCGGTGAATCTGCCTGGCTCTGGGCTTTTCTGTAGTTGTTGGCAAATTTTTTATTTCTGATTCAATCTTACTGCTTGTTATTGGTTTGTTCAGAATTTCTATTTATTTCTCATTCAAGTTAGGAAAATTACATGTTTCCAGAAATTTATCAATTTCTTTTACATTTTCTAGTTTGTGTGCATAGAGGTGTTCACAGCAGTCTCAAGTGATCTTTTGTATTCCTGTGGTGTTGGTTGTAATGTTTTCATTTTCAATTATTATTGAGCTTATTTGAATCTTCTACCTCCTTTTTTGGTGAATCTAGCTAATGGTCTATTGATTTTGTTTAGCTTTTCAAATGATGAACATTTCATTTTATGCATCCTTTGTATTTTTTTGGTTTCAATTTTATTTAGATCTGCTCTGATCTTTGTTATTCTTCTTCCTCTGCTAGCTTTGGTTTGGTTTGCTTTGTTCTTGTTTCTGTAATTCCTTGAAGTGTGATGTTAGATTGTCAAATTGTGATCTTTCAGACATTTATTTTATTTTGAGACAGGGTGTCACTTTATCTCCCAGGCTGGAGTGCAGTGGCATAATCATGGCTCACTGCATTCCCAACCTCCTGGGGTCAAGCAATTCTCCCACCTCAGCCTGCCAAGTAGCTACGGCTACATGCATGCATCAACATTCCCAGTTAATTTCTGTACTTTTCATAGAGACAGGGTTTCACCAGTTGCCCAGGCTAATCTCAAACTCTTGGGCTCAAGTGATCTACTCACCTTGGCCTCTCAAAATGTTAAGATTACAGGCATGAACCACCACACCTGGCCCAGAATTTTTGATGTAGGTATTTAGCACTATAAATTTTCCTTGTAGCACTGTTTTTGTTGTATCCAAGAGGTTTTGATAACTTGTGTCACTTTTATCATTCATTTCAAAGATTTTTAAAATTTCCATTTGATTTGATTGTTAACCCCAAAATCATTTAGAAACAGATTGCTTAATTTCTATTATTTGTACAGTTTTGAAAGTTATTTTTGGAATTAATTTCTTGTTTTATTCTACCATGGTGTAAGAAGATATTTGATGTGGTTTCAATTTATTTTATTTAAGGTCTGGGATACATGTGCAGGGTGTGTTGGCTTATTACATAGGTAAATGTGAGCCATGGTGGTTTGCTACACCTATCAGCCTATCACTTAGGTATTAAGCCCTGCATGCATTAACCATTTATCCTAATGCTCTCCCTCCTCCTGCCAGGCTCCAGTGTGTGTTATTCCCCTCCCTGTGTCCATGTGTTCTCATTGTTCAGCTCCCACTTATAAGTGAGAACATGCAGAATTTGGTTTTCTGTTTCTGTGTTAGTTTGCTGAGGATAATGGGTTCCAGTTTGATCCATGTCCTTGAAAAATACATGATCTTGTTCCTTTTTATGGCTGCATAGTATTCCATGGTGTATATATACTACATTTTTAAATCCAGTCTATCATTGATGGGCATTTGGGTTGACTCCATGTCTTCATTACTGTGAATAGTGCTGCATTGAACATACACATGTATGTGTTTTTATGGTAGAACTATTTTATATTCCTTTGGGTATTACCCAGTAATGGGATTTGTGGGTCAAATGGTATTTCTGGTTCTAGGTCTTTGAGGAATCACCACTGTTTTCCACAATGGTTGAACTCATTTACATTCCCACCCCAACAATGTAAAAGTCTTCTTATTTCTCCACAGCTTCACCAGCGTCTGTTGTTTCTTGACCTTTTAATAATCACCATTCTGACTGGTGTGAGATGGTGTCTCATTATGGTTTTGATTTGCATTTCTCTAATGATCAGTTATGTTGAACTTCTTCTTACATGTTTGTTGGCCGTATAATGTCTTCTTTTGAGAAGTGACTGTTCATGTTATTTGCCTACTTTTTAATGGGATTGTATGTGTTCTTTCTGGTAAATGTGTTTAAGTTCCTCACAGATTCTGGATATTAGACCTTAGTCAGACAAATAGATTGCAAAAAATTTCTTCTATTCTGTAGGTTGTCTGTTCACTTATTTTGCTGTACAGTTGCTCTTTAGTTTAATTATATCCTATTAGTTAATTATTGCTTTTGCTGCAATAGCTTTTGACATTTTCATGATGAAATACTTGCCCATGCCTATGTCCTGAGTGGTATTGCCTAGATTTTCTTCTAGGGTTTTATAGTTTTGGGTTTTACATTTAAATCTCTAATCCATTTTGAGTTATTTTTTGTGTAAGGTGTAAGGAAAGGTTTCAGTTTCAATTTTCTGCATATGGGTAGCCAGTTCTTCTAGCACCATTTATTAAATAGGTTCCCCATTACTTGTTTTTGAGAAGTTTGTCGAAGATAGATGGTTGTAGATGTGTGATCTTATTTCTGAGTTCTCTATTTTCTTCCATTGGTCTATGTGTCTGTTTTGGTACCAGTACTATGCTGTTTTGATTACTGTAGCCTTGAAGTACAGTTTGAAGTCAGGTAGCATGATGCCTCCAATTTTGTTCTTTTTGTTTAGGATTATCTTGGCTATACAGGCTCTTTTTTGTTTCCATATGAATTTTAAAATAGTCTTTTCTAATTCTGTGAAGAACATCAGTGCTAGTTTAATGGGAATAGCATTGAATCTATAAATTACTTTGGGCAGTATGGCCATTTTCACTGTATTGATTCTTCCCATCCATGAGCATGGAATGTTTTTTCCATTTGTTTATTTCTTTCTGATTTCCCTGAGCAATGATTTGTAGTTCTCTTGAAGATGTCCTTCACTTCCCTTGATAGCTGTATTCTTAAATATTTTATTCTCGTTGTGGCAATTGTGAATGGGAGTTCATTCATGATTTGTCTCTCTGCTTGTCTATTGTTGGTGTATAGGAATGCTTGTGATTTTTGTGCATTGATTTTGTGTTCTGAGACATTGCTGAAGTTGTTTATCAGCTCAAGAAGCTTTGGGGCTGAGATGATGGGGTTTTCTAGATACAGGATCATGTCATCAGCAAACAGAGGCTGTTTGAGATCCTCTCTTCCTTTTTGAATACACTATATGTCTTTCTCTTGACCGATAGCCTTGGCCAGAACTTCCAGTACTATGTTGAATAGGAGTGGTGAGGGGGCATCCTTGTCTTGTGCCAGTTTCAAGGAGAGGAGAATGCTTCCATCTTTTGCCCATTCAGTATGACATTGGCTGCAGGCTTGTCATAAATAGTTCTTATTATTTTGAGGTATGTTCCATCAGTACCCACCTAGTTTATTGAGAGTTTTTAACATGAAGGAATGTCAAATTTTTTCTAAGGCCTTTTCTGCATCTATTGAGATAATCATGTGGTTTTTGTCTTTATTTCTGTTTATGTGATGAATTATGTTTATTGATTTGCATATGTTGAACCAGCCTTGCATCTTGGGGATGAAGCTCACTCAATCATGGATAAGTTTCTGATGTGCTGCTGGATTCAGTTTGCCAGTATTTTATTGAGGATTTTCACTTCAATGTTCATCAGGGATATTGGCCTGAAGTTTTCTTTATTTGTTGTATCTCTGCCAGGTTTTGGTATCAGGATGATGCTGGCCTCATAAAATGAGTTAAGGAGGAGTCCCTCCTTTTTAATTGTTTGGAATAGGAAAAAAATGATACCAGCTTCTCCTTGCACCTCTGGTAGAATTCAGCTATAAATCCAGCTTTTTTTTGGCTGGTAGGCAATTTATTACTGCCTGAATTTCAGAACTTGTTATTAGTCTATTCAGGGATTCAATTTCTTTCTGATTCACTTTTGGGAGGATGTATGTTTCCAGGAATTTATCAATTTCTTCTAGATTTTCTAGTTTATTTGCATAGAGGTATTTATAGTATTCTCTGATGGTTGTTTTTCTACTGGCTCAGTGGTAGTATCCTCTTTATCATTTTTTATTGTATCTATTTGATACTCAGTTGCAGTGTAGGATTCACTCGCTGTTTTCATTCTACCCCTTGTGCAAGCCTGAACCTGGAAGGCACTCGTCCTGTGGGAATGCAGCCACCATGAAGTGTTCCAGAAAGGCTGTTTACAGGTGCATCCATGCTGAGCTCCCATAGGAGAAGCCTCAGCTTTGTCTGCAGTAGTGGCTGATGGGAAGAAGTCCCTTTCTTTAATACCTTTCACAAGTATGAGGGCTACCTGACTGTTGGGGTAGAGCTGCAGACTTTCCCTACTGAGCCTAGCACTGAACCTGTGTCTCTGCTGAAAGAAACTTCCCACAAACAGAAAGTTCTGAGACTCAAAACCTGCCATATGAATTCTTTCATCTCTCAGGGTGCTCCCTTGATGCGGTGCACTCCTTCATCCCCTAGGAGTAGGAGCCCCCTGAAGGCCAGACTACTTTGAATCTTGCTGCTCCTCTGGGTCTAGCCATCCAGTGGGACTGCCACACTCAAGGGTGGTGCTAGGGAATATCTGCAAGGGATTCGGTGATGTGACCTGTCCTCATGTCTCTCAGCAGCAGGCACCAGCACCAGCTCTGATGGGGATGGTGCAGGAGTGGTGACACAGACTCTGAAATTTCCTTGGTTATAAATAACCTTAGTGTGTTGGCCTTCTCAAATGCCAGTTGTAGTAGTACTGAACTGATCACATGGACAGACTCAAGACCTCCTGGTTAGCCAGGGTGATGCAGGCAATGGTAAGAGCTGAAGTCACAAAAATGTTTTTTTCTTCTTGGATGCTGTGTTATTCTGCCTGCAGATGCTGTAATGTGCTGTGTCAGTTGACCTCCAGTCAGAAAGTGGCACTTGCAAAAGAGCATCAGCTGCATTGGTACTGGTGGGATTTGTGCTTTCCTTATGTTTCCCAGGGGAGGTACTCTCGTGTCTCAGGCAATGGACAGGGACATGGAGTTCCCAAAAGTTTCTGTCCTTTGTGTTAAGCTATCAAGGTGAATGGATGGGCAAAGCCAGGTAGAGGCTGGGCCAGACAAGTCTGTGCTCTGGTCTCTATTATGTTTGGATGCAAGCAGGGGCTGCAATGGGAATCAGAGGGAAGTTTTCTGGCCACTGTGGTAATGTTCCAGGAGGAGCACAGCTTCCTTTGCTGTACAGAAAAATCTGCATGGAGAATGGGGAGTAGCAGGCAGCAGTTAAGCACCACCCAGCTCCCATGTACTTGGGAGGGAAGATCTCACACCCATAGTGTTCCGCTAGCAGTAGCTAGCTAGGTTCCAGGCAGTTGCATTCAGAGTTCAAAACTGCCCCAGACTATAAGCCTTTCTCACCAGGACAGAAACCACAGTTGCAGGCCACATTCCTCTCTGTGTGCCCACATAGCAAGGGTACCCAGCTTCTGTGCCTGTATGTACACTTTCCCTTTGTCCCTCATTTCTGGCCAGAGGAGTTCATCCCCACTGAAGACTATATTGCATATCTCAGTTAGGAGCTTCTCTCAACCTATGTCCACTGCCTGAATTAGGTGGCCAACTTCTACAAGGTTCCCTGTGAGGTAGAATCAGGAATGGCTTCCCTTCATCCTCACTCAATTCTGACAGTGTATGTAATATACATTCTGATGCCACTCCTCATATACTCCCACTGCTCACTAAGTCAGCTCCAGTGCTGGGTAGGGTTAAGGCCTTCCACCATGGCCTGGATTGCCAGATTCCTCAGTAGAAATGTGTATCCCAGAGTCAGTCTCTCCTCTTCTGATACTCTGGAGACTCACAGTTTTCCTCCTGGCTCACAGTGTAGGCTGCAGCCTACTGATTCTTTCAAAGGCTCTGTGATTTCAGTTTTTCTGTGATGTTCTTGTGTTGCTTCTTGAATAAAAGTTCACAGCATGAGTCTCTAAACGGTATTTTGTCTTTCCAAGTGGAAGAGGCATGTTAGCAATGCTTCCAATCCACCATCTTGGAAAAATATTCTTCCCTGTTTTCCTTTATAGTTTTTATCACTTATATATATATATTTATTTGTTTATTTTCTATTTCTTACTGCTGGAATGCCAGCTCTCAATACACTGGGAGGAGTTCTTTTATCCCCTTCACAGTTCTTTTATCCCCTTCACAGGTCACAAAGTGTGACAGGGGTATGGCTCACTTCTTTGGTGCCCCGCTGCTGAAACCCCTAGAGGAGCATGCAGATGGGCAGGCTGTGGGGAGTGTTTTTGGCTCTGACCCCACAGCAGCGTCTAGGGTTGAGTGTTTTCAGCTCCCAAAGCCCCAGTGGGCATGTGTTACACTGTGCTCTTTCAGTTTTGTCAACTGCAGGCAGCTTGTGCTAATCAGCTCAATTGGACCTTGTGCCTTATTGCCAGGGCAGAGGGCTTTGTGTATCCCGAGTTCGTGCCCTAATGTACCAGAAAAATCGGATCACAGGTGGGCTTGGAGGATACGTGCAAGATTTTATTTAGTGGTGGAATTTGCTATAGTGAGGTGGATGCGGAACCAGAAGGGCGATGGAGTGGGAAGATGGTCTTCTCCTGGAATTGGGCCGCCCAGTGGTCGGACTCTCCTTGACCATCCCTACCGAATTCCATATCGATGGCCTGCTGGCACCTGCTGGTGTCTGTTGATGTGCTCTTCTGCTCCTCTGCTCCTCTTGATGTCCAGCTGCTTGTGTGTGTGTGCCACTAAGTTCTCTTGGGTTCATATGGCCACAGGATGGGGGCGTGGCCGGCCAGAGTGGTCTTGGAAAATGCAACATTTGGGCATGAATACAGGAGTTCCTGTTCTCACTTAGGTCTGTGGGCACAAGCCTGAGGGTGGAGCCCTAGCCAAGGACCCTGCCCTTCTCTACCCAGCACTTTCCTGGCCCCTCTCGTATCATTTCCCGTCTCTGAAGAGGTACATCTAACTGCCATTAGAATATGGATGACGACTGGTCTTAGCTACTTTCTGCTGACACAGGGGGTTGTTTTGGGGAAAATGACAGTCAGGTTAAGTATGCATGGATTAAACATGTGTATTATACAAGGAAAGAATTTAGTGCCAAGGATCACAGAGATAAGAAGTGAAATATACTAACAACATTTTACCCCGAGCTGTTTCGCCCTGTTGAAAAAAATTAAACCTTGTAGGGGAGTGATTAAAGTTTTGAAGAGAGATAACTGTTCTTGCCATATCTTTAGCAGTTAACTGATGTACCCTGGGAATTCTGGAGTTTGTGGGCCATTAATACTTCTGCCTCTTTCTTGTGCCTCCCTTTCTCTATTGTAAAAGACTAAGGTGGCCACTTTCAGGCGGTCCTCTGATGTACCGTCTGGCCCCAGAGCCCATTTCTGCAACTTCCTCCTGATATCAGGGGCTTCCTGAGTAATGTTTATCCTTTAGGATTAGTTGTCCTTTTACTGACTCAGGAGCTAGCTAGGTATGCTTTATCAAGGCCTGTCTTAGCTTTTCCAGGAAGGCAGTAGGATTTTCATCAAATCCCTCATCAATCACAGACAAGTTAGTATAATTGAGAGACTTGGTCCTAGTTCTATGTAAGCCTTCCCTATACCACCTCAAAGTGTCTACTCTTCCAGTCTTCCATCTTGTCACTGGGATCCCATTTAGGGTCATTCACTGGTACTGCTTCTCTTCCAGTTGGATAATATTTGCCCCTTCCCTGAAACTACATGTGATGTAAAGTTTATCCCCAAATCTCTCTGCTGCTTTTAAGTGTCTGTCAGGGTCTGATTCAAAAGTAACATAACATCTCTCCAGGAGAGTTCAAATATTTGGGTGAAATTCTGGAAAGCCTCTATATATCTATCAGGGTCATCTGAAAACTTGCAAAGATCCCTCTTAATTTGCTTTAAGTTTTGTGGGGAGAAGGAAACTTGGACCTTACTAGGCCCAAATTCACTGGGCATCTGTTGCAAGGGCAAGAGTGAGACTGGGGCTTGTTTAGGATGATTTCTATAGGATGCAAGTGAGAGGCTGAAGCTGAATAGGGAGGTCATGGTAGACCCAGAGAAGCAGGGCTGGAGGGAGCTGGTTCCTCTGCCAGGTGTGCCTCTGGGACTTGTATCTTTAATTCCCTGGGCTTGCCCCTTGCAGTCTTCCCTGAGATGGCAAACAGGAGGGCTGGATCAATTCTACACCATCAGCAAAGGTCTGGATTGCCTTACAAGGTATAGAAAGTCTGCACATATGGGGTCTCAGGCCATCTGTCCTCATGTCTACAGAAAAGTTCCAACTACTGGATGGTATTGAAATGAATGCTTCCTTCCTGAGACCAAGCCAGTTCTTGCTGTAAATCATAATGTGGCCAAACCTTCGTGCAGAGGGCTGTGAGACATTTTTCCTCCAGATTCTGAGGGTCAAAGCAGTCTCAATTGTTCAGGATAAACTCCTGAGGAGTACAAACTGGGAGTGGTGAAGAGAGCTTGTTGCTCATTCTGAAAGACAGGGAATAAAAGCATCCCTCACTTCCCTTCCTTCTTTCAGCGAAAACTCAGAGTGTGATGGAGAAAGAACATGAGCGTCCTCCTTTCCCCTGCCATCCTTTTATCCCTGAGTCCTGGCGACCTTGGCAGGTGCTGGCCATAGGTACCAATGCGGTATATATTCATGAAGAAGGAAACCCTAGAGAATAGGCATTAACTGCCCTGACCTATGTCTCCATCTCCCCCTGCTTTGACAATCTTTGAGTTCCATGGGCCTGTTTATGCCATGGAGCATGAACTCTTTCCATGGGGTGGGGATTCAGTCAGCAAGAATTGGTCCTGCCCATTTACACTCTGCCTATTGCCTAGCTTTGGATCCCTCATACCTGGGTTTCCTTTCTAGGGACTCAGCCCGAAGCTTGGAATCAAGCTTGGGACTGAAAAAGTATTTCAGGGCCTGTTTTATCTGTTTAGAGTGTCTCAAATGAGCCCTGCTGAATTTGCAGCTATCAGCCAGCAGGAGTTGTTTCATTAACTTTCCTATCAGAATCAGATTGCTGGGGAGGGGGAGCCCTCTCACTTAGAAAAGAAAAAAGAGAAAAACAAAAGGGCAAAAGGGGGAGGTCCTGGGAGACGAACCCTTTGCTTAGTGCAAGTGGATCTCTTTAATCTTTGTATCCTTCCCTCTATTCAAACCAGGTTGATTCCTTGGCCAGTGGAGAAAAGTTTTGTTGGCACTGTGGGCAAGAAGGACCCACCTGTCAGGCTTGTGGGGTCCCGGTGGTAACTACAGTTTTCTTTCCCATCCCTTGTGGCTGTTGGGCATGACTTTTGCATGCTATGGACATACCCAGATACCTGTGCTGGGAGGAGAGAGGGCAAGGGAAGGTACCCCGAACCATGTGCCTCTGGCTGTCAGGGTGGAGGTAGAGATGGTACTTCTAAGAACAATTGCTCTGATTGCACCTTTGGTGGCTGAGCCATATGCTTGTTTTACTTAGTAACATTGTGCAGCCTGTAGCAAAACTCTTAACATTATAAAGGAAGAGATAAGAGCCATTTCAAACCATGAGAGAGAGAGAGAAAAGATATGAAGTCTAGGGGTTTTGACCAACCCACTTAGGGTGGTTAAGCCTCTGTAAAGGGAAACAGAGCTTTTTTTTTTTTTTTTTTAACCTGCAGGAAAGAGAGAGAGGTGGCAGGGTTTTGGAAAAGAAGCAGATCCTACAGTTTTGCATTTGCAGTCATTTTTCCATATCCCAGGGGAGGCCCCAGTTGAAACGGGAGGAGTTCCCTTATCCCTATCAAAGGGCGTGCAACAAGAGTGTGGCTCGCTTCTTTGGTGCCCCACTGCTCAACCTCCTAGGGGGAGTATGCCGATGGGCAGGTCGTGGGGAGCATTTTTTGGGCTCCAACCCCACAGCAGCATTTGGAGTTGAGTGTTTGCAGCTCCCAAAGCCTCAGGTGGGCGTATGTTACTGAGACAGGACTAGCTGGGCTTCCTAGGCCGACTAAGAATTCCTAAGCCTAGCTGGGGAAGGTGACCGCACCCACCTTTAAACATGGGGCTTGTAACTCAGCTCACACCCGACCAATCAGGTAGTAAAGAGGGCTCACTAAAATACAAATTAGGCTAAAAGCAGGAGGTAAAGAAATAGTCAAATCATGTATCATCTGAACGCACAGGGGGAGGGACAATAATTGGGATATAAACCCCAGGCATTCGAGCTGGGAGTGGCAACCCCCTTTGGGGGAAGCCGCCTTTGGGTCCCCTCCCATTGTATGGGAACTCTGTTTTCACTCTATTAAATCTTGTAACTGCACACTCTTCTGGTCCATGTTTGTTACAGCTCGAGCTGAGCTTTTGCTCACCGTCCACCACTGCTGTTGGCCGCCATCGCACACCTGCCACTGACTTCCACCCCTCTGGATCCGGCTGGGTGTCTGCTGCACTCCTGATCCAGCGAGGCGCCCACTGCCACTCCCAGTTGGGCTAAAGGCTCGCCATTGTTCCTGCACAGCTAAGTGCCCGGGTTCATCCTAATCAAGCTGAACACTAGTTGCTGGGTTCTACGGTTCTCTTCTGTGACCCATGGCTTCTAATCAAGCTGTAACACTCACCACATAGGCCCAAGGTTTCATTCCTTGGAATCTGTGAGGCCAGGAACCCCAGGTCAGAGAACAAAAGGCTTGCTGCCATCTTGGGAGCGGCTGCCACCATGTTGGGAGCGGCCCACCACCATCTTGGGAGCTCTAAGAACACAGACCCACCCGTAACATTACGGTGTACTCTTTCAGTTATGCCATCTACAGGCAGCTTGTGCTAACCAGCTCAATTAGACCCTCTGCCTTATTGCAAGGGCAGGGGGCTTTCTGTGTCCTGAGTTGTTGCCCTAGTGTACTAGAAAAAATCAGATCACACCTGGGCTTGGAGGATAGGTGCAAGGTTTTATTGAGTGGTGGAAGTTGCTTTCAGTGAGGTGGATGGGGAGACAGAAGGGGGACAGAGTGGAAAAGTGGTCTTCTTCTGGAGTTGGGCCACCCAGTATCCAGACTCTCCTCTGATTGCCCTCGACTGAATTCCACATTGTCCCACTGTTGGTGGCCTGCCGGCATCTGCTGGTGTCTGCTCTTCTGCTCCTCTCGACATCTAGTCACTTGTGTGTGTGCCTGCTAAGTTCTCTCGGGTTTATATGGGCACAGGATGGGGGGTGTGGCAGGCCAGAGTGGTCTTGAAACATGTAACATTTGGGCACAAAAACAGGAGTGCCTGTTCTCACTTAGGTCCAAGGGCACAAGCCCGAGGGTGGAGCCCTTGGCAGGGACCCCACCCTTCTCTACCCTTCCCATATCATCAAGGCCAGGATGTTCATTTATTTTGTATTTATTTATTCATTAATTCATCCATTCAGCAAACATTAGATATTAAGCAGACTGGAAACAAAATTAAATGTATTACTGAGCACCACTGTATAACATGTACTGTTCTAAATATTATAGATTTTATTTTATTTTGTTTTGACTCATTAGTGAGTCAAAAACAAACATGAGGGCTCTTTAAGCACTCTTTGAAGACCATCACTCACTTTCATTTATGTCCCCCCAAAATTCTTACATAGATCCATTAGAGGTAGAAAAAAGGATGTTCACTCCAGGTTATTTGTGTCTGCAGAGAGTTGGAGGAAATGCAGAGAATTACAGAGAAATACAGAGGCTTACAACATGGAGAATGGAGAGGTAAAATACAATGAATGAACGTTATGACGAACCATGCAAGTGTTACAAACAGCAGATTGGCACACAGAGTAATGTAGATAGATGACAAAGGCACAGTGCTGAGTGAAAAGAATGAACTATTTAATAAAATAACTTTTATGTGCATTTTTTTCTTCACTCTGTTGCCCAGGCGGGAGTGCAGTGGCGCAATCTCAGCTCACTGCAACCTCCGCCTCCTGGGTTCAAGCAAGTCTCCTGTCTCAGCCTCCCAAGTAGTTGGGATTACAGGTGCGTGCCACCATGCCCAGCTAATTTTTTTATTTTTAGTAGAGACGAGGTTTCGCCATGTTGGCCAGGCTGCTCTCGAACTCCTGTGTTCAGGTGATCTGCCTACCTTGGCCTCCCAAAGTGCTGGGATTACAGGCATGAGCCACTGTGGCTGGCCCTTTTATGTGAATTTAAAATATGTAAGGACAAAACACCAATATTTTCTTGAAAAGAATACTTTTTTTTTCCACTGGGAATTAAAGTCTTTACTTAAAGGAAATCAATATGTATTAATAGGATTTTTTTTCTTTTTTTTATTATTATTATACTTCAAGTTTTAGGGTACATGTGCACAATGTGCTGGTTTGTTACATATGTATACATGTTCCATGTTGGTGTGCTGCACCCATTAACTCATCATTTAGCATTAGGTACATCTCCTAATGCTATCCCTCCCCCCTTCCCCCACCCCACAACAGTCCCCAGTGTGTGATGTTCCCCTTCCTGTGTCCATGTGTTCTCATTGTTCAATTCCCACCTATGAGTGAGAACATGCGGTGTTTGGTTTTTTGTCCTTGCGATAGTTTGCTGAGAATGATGGTTTCCAGCTTCATCCCTGTCCCTACAAAGGACATGAACTCATCATTTTTTATGGCTGCATGGTATTCCATGGTTTATATGTGCCACATTTTCTTAATCTAGTCTATCATTGTTGGACATTTGGGTTGGTTCCAAGTCTTTGCTATTCTGAATAGTGCCGCAATAAACATACGTGTGCATGTGTCTTTATAGCAGCATGATTTATAATCCTTTGGGTATATAGAACACTTTTTAAGAAATAGACAAATACATTAAAATGCTGCCTTGGTGGGAAGGACATGAAATGGAGAATGAGAAAAAGGCAATGAAATGAAGCAGTGAGTGTGTAAGTGAGCAAGTGAGACCTAAAAGAGCAGTGTTCAGTGGACCGATGATGCTAACATTTTATGTTTAACTTAATCAATGACCCAAGTTTTCTCATACCGAGGGTGAGTAGAGCTTTTTGAGCAGCTTTTTGTGTGTTACAATTTTTAGAATCTTTGGCATCTTAGATCATTTCTTCTGAGTGCATCTAATTCTGTCACCAGTTTTCTGATATCCAAATATGTTTTCCTGTAACCATGTGTGGAACAATACAAGCTTACCTTGGAGATATTGAGAGTTTGGTTCTAGAACACTGCAATAAAGTGAATATCACAATGAAGCAAATCAGGCAAATTTTTTGGGTTCGCAGTGCATGTAAAAGTTATATTTACACCATATGGTATTCAATTAAGTGTACAATGGGATTACGTATAAAAAACCAATGTACATACTTGAATTAAAAATACTTCATTGCTAAAAAAAATGCTAACAATCATCGGAGACTTAAGTGAATTGTAACCATTATACTAGCAGAGGGTCTCGCCTCCATGTTGATGGCTGCTAACTGATTAGGGTGGTGGTAGGTGAAGGCTGGGGTGGCTGTGACAATTTTTTTAAGACAACAGTAAAGTTTGCTGCATTGATTGACTCTTCATTTCACTAAAGGTTTCTCTGTAGCACATACTGCTGTTTGATAGTATTTTAGCCAAAGTAGAACTTCTTTCAACACTGGGGTCAATTGTCTCAAATTCTGCTACTGCTTTATCAACTAGTTTATGTAATATTCTAAATTCTTTCTTGTCATTTCAACAATGTTCACAGCATCTTCAACATGAGTACATTCCAACTCAAGAAACCACTTTCCTTGCTTATGAATAAGAAGCAACTCTCTCTGTTCAAGTTTTATCATGAGAGTGAAGCATTTCAGTCACATCTTCAGGCTCTGTTTCTAATTCTAGTTTTTTTTTTTGCTATGTCCAATAAATCTGCAGTCAGTTCCTCCACTGTAGTCTTGACTTCCCCAGTTCATAACGGTTGGAATCAATTTGTTGCAAACTCCCCTTAATACTGATTTTTCTCTTTTTTTGAGATGAGTCCTCACTCTGTTGCTCAGGCTGGAGTAGAGTTGCATGATCTTGGCTCATTGCAACCTCCACCCCCTGAGCTCAAGCAATTTTTTCACCTGAGACTCCCAAGTAGCTGGGACTACAAATGTGCGCCACCACACTTGGCTAATTTTTTAAATATTTTTGGTAGACACAGGGTTTCACTATTTTTCCCAGGCTGTTCTTGAACTCCTGAGTTCAAGCAATTCACCTGCCTTGGCCTCCTAAAGTGCTGGGATTACAGGCATGAGCCACCATGCCTGGCCTAATGTTGATATTTTGACCTCCACCCATGAATCACAAATATTTTTAATGGCTAGAGTGGTGAATTTTTTCAGAAGGTTTTCAATGTACTTTGCCCAGATTGATTAGATGAATAATTACCTATGACAGCTATAGCTTTAAGAAATGTATTTCTGAAAAGTCAGCATTACTCCTTGATTCATGGGCTGCAGAATGGATGTTGTGTTAGCAGGCATGGAAATAACATTCATCTCCTTGTACATCTTCATCAGAGATCTTGGGTGACAAGACATACGTCAATGAGCAGTCATATTTGGAAAGGAATCCTTTGTTCTGAGCAGTAGGTCTCAACAGTGTGCTTAAAATATTCAGTAAATCATGTTGCAAGCAGACGTGCCATCATCCAAGCTTTGTTGTTTCATTTCTAAAACACAGGCAGGGAATATGTAACATAATTCTCAAGGATCCTACCATTTTGGGAATGGCAAATGAACATTGGCCTCAACTTAAAGTCACCAGCTAAGTTCACCCCTAACAAGAGGATCAGCCTGTACTTTGAAGGTCTGAATTGGGCAATAGTTTGTCTTCTCTAGCTCTGAGAGTCCTAGGTGGCATATTTTTCCAATAGAAGGCTCTTTTGTCTGCATTGAAAATTTGTAATTTGGTTTAGCCAGCTTCATCAATGTTCTTAGCTAGATCATCTTGATAACTGCTGCAGCTTCTCTATTAGCACTTGCTGCGTCACCTTGCAGTTTTACATTATGGAGATGCCTTTTTTCCTCAAACCTCATGAACTAACCTCTGTTAGCTTCCAATTTTTCTCCTGTCACTTCCTCACTTCTCTCAGCCTTCATAGAGTTGAAGAGTTAGGGCCTTTCTTTGGATTATGTTTTGGCTTAAAGGAATGTTGTGGCTAGTTTGATCTATTCAGACCACTCAAACTTTCTCCACATAAAAGTAATAAGACTGTTTTGTTTTCTTGTCATTGTTTGTTCACTGGAGCAGTACTTTTAATTTCCTTCAGGAACTTTCCCTTTGCATTCACAATTTGGCTTAATGTTTGGTGCAAGAGGCCTAGCTTTTGACCTATCTCAGTTCATCATGCCTTCCTCACTTAATCACTTCTAGCTCTTGATTTTAAGGGAGAGATATAAGACTCTTTCTTTCATTTAAGAGGCCATTGTGGAGTTATTAATTGGCCTAATTTTAATATTGTTGTGTCTCGGGCAATAATGAGGCCTGAAGAGAGAGAGAGACAAGAAACTGCTGGTGGGAGGAGGAGGCAGAACACACGCAACATTTATTGATTAAGTTTGCTGTCTTTTATGGGTGTTGTTTGGGGTGTCCCAAAACAATAACAATAATAACATCAAAAGTCACTGATAAAAGATCACCATAGCAGATGTAATAATAATTAAAAAGTTTGAAGTATTGTGAGAATTACCATAACATGACACAGAGACATAATGTGAGCACATGCTGTTAGCAAAATAATGCCAATCGCCTTACTTCACACTGAGTTGCCACAAACCTTCAATGTGTGAAAAAATCCAATATCCATGAAGCACAATAAAATGAGTTATACCTAGGCTGGGTGTGGTGGCTCATGCTTGTAATCCCAGCACTTTGGGAGGCCGAAGAAGGCAGATAACTTGAGGTCAGGATTTTGAGACCAGCCTAGCCAACATGGTGAAACCCCGTTTCTACTAAAAATACAAAAATTAGCAGGGCATGATGGCACACCCCTGTAATCCCAGCTACTCAGGAGGCTGAGGCAAGAGAATCACTTGAACCTGGGAGATAAATGTTGCAGTGAGCCAAGACCACACCACTGTACTCCAGCTTGGGTGACAGACAAAGACACCATCTCAAAAAAAAAAAAAAAAAAAAAAAGGTTATGTCTATACATGTGTGTTTCTGTGTGTATGAGTTTGTACACATATACATTTCTCTGTTGTCTTTTATTCAGCTCTTTTGATTAGAAATCCCATGGAGAAAAGGAGGAAATTACCAGGGGGAAAGAATTCACCTTTGATTTCTTTTTTTTTTCTATGAACGATGATGATACCTATTATTTATTCACTATTTGCTATGTGACAATGTGCTAAACAATTTTACACCCACCACTGCATTAAAGTCTTCAAACTTTTCCATACAAAGCTACCATTGTACCAATTTTATGGATGGAAAGACTGAAAGCAAGATTAAGACTAAGTTTATGTAACTTAACATTTACTATAACGTAGGTCAGTGGGGATTCTGATCCTGGTTGTACATAAAAATCATTCGGGAAACTTGAAAAAAAGGCCATGTCAGCACCTCAAGATACTTTAATTTAAATAACCTACTTATTGCACATACTGGCATTTTCTTTTTTTCTTTTTTTTCTTTTTTTGCTTCATGGGTTTTTTTTTTCTTTAAATTCTGGGGTACATGTGCAGAACGTGCAGTTTTGTTACATAGGTATACACATGCCATGGTGGTCGTGCCATGGTGGTTTGCTGAACCCATCAACCCATCACCTACATTAGGTATTTCTCCTAATGTTATCCCTCCCCTACCTAGCCCCCCACCACCCGACAGACCCCAGTGTGTGATGTCCCCCTCCCTATGTCCATGTGTTCTCATTGTTCCACTGCTCAAGGAAATAAGAGAGGACACAAACAAATGGAAAAACATTCCATGCTCATGGATAGGAAGAATCAACATTGTGAAAATGGTCACACTGCCCAAAGTAAATTATAGATTCAATGCTATCCCCATCAAGCTACCAATGACTTTCTTCACAGAATTGGGAAAAACTACTTTAAACTTCATATGGAACCAAAAAAGAGCCTGCATAGCCAAGACAATCCTGGGCAAGAAGAACAAAGCTGGAGGCATCACGCCACCTGACTTCAAACTATACTACAAGGCTACAGTAACCAAAACAGCATGGTACTGGTACCAAAACAGATAAATAGACCAATGGAACAGAACAGAGCCCTCAGAAATAACACCACACATCTACAACCATCTGATCTTTGACAAATCTGACACAAACAAGCAACGGGGAAAAGATTCCCTACTTAATAAATGGTGTTGGGAAAACTGGCTAGCCATATGCAGAAAACTGAAACTGGACCCCTTCCTTACATCTTATACAAAATCAACTCAAGATGGATTAAAGATGTAAATGTAAGGCCTAGGACCATAAAATTCCTAGAAGAAAACCTGGGCAATACCATTAAGGACACAGGCATGGGCAAAGACTTCATGTCTAAGACACCAAAAGCAATGGCAACAAAAGCCAAAATTGACAAATGGGATCTAATTAAACTAAAGAGCTTCTGCACAGCAAAATAAACTATTATCAGAGTGAACAGGCAACCTACAGAATGGGAGAAAATTTTTGCAACCTACCCATCTGACAAAGGGCTAATATCCTGAATCTACAAAGAACTTAAAGAAATTTACAAGAAAAAAAAAAAAAACAATCCCATCAAAAAGTGGGCAAAGGATATGAGCAGACTATTCTCAAAAGAAGACATTTATGCAGCCAACAGACGTATGTAAAAATGCTCATCATCACTAGTTATTAGAGAAATGAAAATCAAAGCCACGATGAAATACCATCTCACGCCAGTTAGAATGGTGATCATTAAAAAGTCAGGAAACAACTGGTGCTGGAGAGGATGTGGAGAAATAGGGAAACTTTTACACTGTTGGTGGGAATGTAAATTAGTTCAACTATTGTGGAAGACAGTGTGGCAATTCTTCAAGGATCTAGAACTAGAAATACCATTTGACCCAGCAATTCCATTACTGGGTATGTGCCCAAAGGATTATAAGTCACCTTTGATTTCTAGCTGTTAGCAAAATAATGCCAGTCACCTTGCTTCACACTGAGTTGCCGCGAATCGGGAAGGAATCTAGTTTTTGTGAGTCCAGTTGTTTGTGTAAAGTGAGGGATTCTTGTTATGAAAATAAAATTATAAACACATAATTATGATAAATTATAAATTTTTTATAGCTAACAAACACCACAACTATAAAAATCAATCCAGAAAATTAACATTTTTAATTAACTAATGTCCTGACAAACCTTTTTAATACCTATTTATCTAAATTTTAAGACTGTAAAATTTTTTTATCATTTTTCTCATGTGCAATTATGTTTAATACTTTCTGTAGAATAACAATGTTATTCTGAATTTCCTCTGGCGTTGTTAATCTAGGTTTGTTTCTTGTTGACAGAGTAGAAGGATTTTTTTCAGTTTCAAGACTCAATTTTTGGTAGTATTCATCTGTAATTTTCTTTTTGGTTCTACTCAAATGCATTTCTGGCTCAGCAACAAGCCTACAAAGAACTCCAGTCATTCTCTCTCCCTATGTCCAGCAGAGCACAGAGAGATCTTTGCTTGCCTCAGCACCACCTGCCACTCTCATACTGTTCCACCATCACGATCCTGGGAATCTGAGGGACCAGTTTGCCATAAGCTAGATGGTAGTGGCCCCATGATGATGCACAGCAGCATGTTATTGTTTTGTTGAAATCTAAGGTAGGGTTGGGATGATTGTTGTGGTACAATGGGGGCAGGCTGCTGATGGAACCAGACATAGATAGAAGTACTAATGGAAGCCTGTCAGCCCACCTACAGTATCAGCACTGCCACCAGGAGCAGGTCTCCTGTTTTTCTGTTTATTTCTACTGCCTTGGAGAATAACACATGGAGAAATGGAAGATGCATATCTAAGTTGTAGGTTCTGAAACTTATGCTTCATCTGCTACATGGTAGATCTGCCTCTGTATAAACCTTTTTTGGATGGTTCTTTTTCAGGCATTGTTTCTTTTGCCTTGAAGTCTTTCCTCCCTTTGAGGCACATTCCTGCTTATAGTTCTATACACAGCTAAACTGTTACATCATCTCTGGACATTCTTGCCAGAGTTAAGCATAACACCCTGCAGTATTTTACTCATTTTTTAATCAAAACATTCACCATGGCATATTGTAAGTTGTGTCATTGTATGTCAATCTCTCTTACTATATCGAGATGTTATTAAGGTTGGGAACCATCTCTATTAATTTTATATCTTTTGCCTCTACTACAAGTTTTGTCACATAGTAAGATTTTAACAAATAATCATTAAATGAACAATTAAAAGTTTTACCTCTAAGCACCACCACCTCTAAAGGGTTTATTTAACTCCTTTTTAAAGAATTATTCCAGTGTTTTGTAGTATCAAATTCTTAACAAACTGTACAGCAGAAGTTAGTGTGTATTTTTTATTGTATTCACTAGATTATTAGCATATCATAGAAAAAAAATCTAGCCCTTGATTTTTGTTCTCAGAATCTAACACAGCACCTGACATGGTTGGATAAAGGAATGATTTACTTTGTTAAGATAGAAAAAGCTATCATTTATTGAGTATGCTTTGAGTACTAGGTACTGTTTTAGGTGTTTACATGAAATATTGCACTTAATTCTTACAGTAACCTTGTAAGCAGGGATGTTATCCTCCCTTTCAAAATAAAAATACTGGGGCTTACTAAAGCTATATGCACCAGTCCTGTTGTCAGCAAGTAGAAAAAACAGAATACAACCACTAGCCAGCTGAGTCCAGAAACCCTGATTGTAATCAATTCACTACACTGCCCTTCAAGAAATCAGTATTCAGTGGTTTGGGTCACTACGTGACTCACTTTTACTGCTGCCAGTGATGGCTACATATGCCTTGTAACTTTATGTAAGTCACATCCAATAAAATATCTGTCAACTGGAAAGCTCGGAGCATCTAGTTAATTGAATTTTTAAATTAAAATTTAGTAACCATTACCTTGCCTTAATAAGTAGAGAAAACATAACATAATTGAATGCTTATTTTCAAATTTATAATCACTCAGGTTCTCAAGGACAGAATTTTGACTCTTAGTAATTTCAGTTATACCTCTTTTTATTGTACTTCATTATATTGTGCTTTGCAGATATTTTTTATAAATTGAATATTGTGGCAACTCATCAAGGAACAAGTATACTGGCACCATTTTTCCAATGGCATGTGCTCACTTTGTGTCTCTGTGTTATATTTTGGTAACTCTCACAATATTTCAAACCTTGTAATATTTGGTTATTAAAAATTAACTGTTATGATCTGTGATTAGTGATCTTTGATGTTGTTATTGTAATGGTTTGGGACACCCTGGACTGCACCCATAAAAGATGGCAAACTTAATCAACAAAGGTAGTGTGTGTTTTGTCTGCTCTGATGACTGTTCTTCATCTCATTCCTTCTCCTCAGGCCTCCTTATTCTCTGAGAAACAACAGTATTGAAATTGGGCAAATTAATAATGTTACAATGGTCTCTAAGTGTTTAAGTGAAAGGAACTTTCCCACATGTCTCACATTTAATCAAAAATCATAAATGATTATACTTAGTGTGACAGACATGTCTAAAGACCACATAGGCCAAAGGCTCGGCCTCTTGTGTCAAACAACCAAGTTATGAATGCAAAGGGAAAGTTCTTGAGGGAAATTAAAAGTGCTAATTCAGTGAACACATAAATGATAAGAAAGCAAAATAGCCTTATTGCCAATATGGAGGAAGTTTGAGTGGTATAAATAGAAAATCACACCAGCCACAACATTCCCTTAAGCCAAAGCCTAATTCAGAGACGCATGCTCTTTAATTCTATGAAGGCTGAGAGAGGTGAGGATGTGACAAGAAACTCTGGAAGCTAGCAAAAGTTCGTTCATGAGGTTTAAGGAAATAAGCCATCTTCATAATGTAAAACTTCAAGATGAAGCAGCAAGTGCTGATGGAGAAGTTGCAGCAACTTATCAAGAAGATCTAGCCAAGAACATTGATACAACTGGTTAAACTAAACAATGGATTTTCAATGCAGACAAAAGAGCCTCCTATTGGAAGAAGATGCCACTGAGCACTTAGGTAGTTAAAGAAGAGAAATCAATGCTTGGCTTCGAAGCTTCAAAGTACAGGCTGACCCCTCTTGCTAGGGGTGAATTCAACTGGTGACTTTAAGTTGAATCCAATGCCCATTTACCATTCTCAAAATACTAGGGTCCTTAATAATTATGTTAAATCTTCTCCACCTGTGCTGTATAGATAGAAAAACAAAGTTTGGATGACAGCACATCTCTTTGATGCATGGTTTACTGAGTATTTTAAGCCCACTGTTGAGACCTACTGCTCAGAAATAAAGGATTCCTTTCCAAATATTACTGCTCACTGACAATGACACTGATCACCCAAGAGCTCTGATAAAGATGTACAGGACGTGATGTCATTTTCATGCCTGCTAACATAACATCCATTCTGCAGGCCATAGATCAGGAGTTTTATGATTTCAGAAATATATTTCTTAAAGTTATAGCTGTCATAGGTAGTGACTCTAATTGATCTGGGTAAAGTAGATATAAAATCTTCTGGAAAAAATTCACCATTCTCGATGCCATTAAAAACATTTGTGATTCATGAGAGAAGGTCAAAATATCAACATTAACAGGAGTTTGGAAGAAATTGACTGTAAACCTCATAAATGACTTTGAAGAGTTAAATACTTCATTAGAGGAAGTACCTGTAAATGTGGTAGAAATAGCAAGAGACCTATAATGAGAAGTGGAGCCTGAAGATGTAAGTGAATTGCTTCAATTGCATGATAAAATTTGAATGGGTCAGGAATTATTTTTTATGGATGATCAAAGAAAATAGTTTTTTGAGATAGAATCCACTCTTGGTGAAAATGATATGAACATTGTCAGAATGACAACAAAGTATTTGGAGTAATACATAAACCTAATTAATAAAACAGCAGGAGGGTTTGAGAAGATGAACTCCAATTTTGTTTTTTTTTTCCATTTCCAAAATTCTCCTTTACTTTTTATGTCCCAATACCTTTATACAGTTACACATTGTTTCTCCAGCATGTATCCTATCCTACCCTTCTGCTTCATGAATTTACCCTCATATTTTAAGATAAGGCCACCTCCTTTGCAAAGTCTTTGCTAGCATATCCTGGGAGAATTCGGCATTTCCATGCCTATATGCCATGAGCATTTTCTTCATTTTTTTTTTTTAAATTATTATACTTTAAGTTTTAGGGTACATGTGCACATTGTGCAGGTTAGTTACATATGTATACATGTGCCATGCTGGTGCGCTGCACCCATTAACTCATCATCTAGCATTAGGTATATCTCCTGATGCAATCCCTCCCCCCTTCCCCCACCCCACAACAGCCCCCAGAGTGTCATATTCCCCTTCCTGTGTCCATGTGATCTCATTGTTCAATTCCCACCTATGAGTGAGAATACATGGTTTTTGGTTTCCTGTTCTTGCGATAGTTTACGGAGAATGATGATTTCCAATTTCATCCATGTCCCTACAAAGGACATGAACTCATCATTTTTTATGGCTGCATAGTATTCTATGGTGTATATGTGCCACATTTTCTTAATCCAGTCTATCATTGTTGGACATTTGGCTTGGTTCCAAGTCTTTGCTATTGTGAATAATGCCGCAATAAACATACGTGTGCATGTGTCTTTATAGTAGCATGATTTATAGTCCTTTGGGTATATACCCAGTAATGGGATGGCTGGGTCAAATGGTATTTCTAGTTCTAGATCCCTGAGGAATCGCCACACTGACTTCCACAATGGTTGACCTAGTTTACAGTCCCACCAACAGTGTAAAAGTGTTCCTATTTCTCCACATCCTCTCCAGCATCTGTTGTTTCCTGACTTTTTAATGATTGCCATTCTAACTGGTGTGAGATGGTATCTCATTGTGGTTTTGATTTGCATTTCTCTGATGGCCAGTGATGATGAGCATTTTTTCATGTGTTTTTTGGCTGCATAAATGTCTTCTTTTGAGAAGTGTCTGTTCATTTCCTTCGCCCACTTTTTGATGGGGTTGTTTGTTTTTTTCTTGTAAATTTGTTTGAGTTCATTGTAGATTCTGGATATTAGCCCTTTGTCAGATGAGTAGGTTGCAAAAATTTTCTCCCATTTTATAGGTTGCCTGTTCACTCTGATGGTAGTTTCTTTTGCTGTGCAGAAGCTCTTTAGTTTAATTAGATCCCATTTGTCAATTTTGTCTTTTGTTGCCATTGCTTTTGGTGTTTTAGACATGAAGTCCTTGCCCATGCCTATGTCCTGAATGGTAATGCCTAGGTTTTCTTCTAGGGTTTTTATGGTTTTAGGTCTAACATTTAAGTCTTTAATCCATCTTGAATTAATTTTTGTATAAGGTGTAAGGGAGGATCCAGTTTCAGCTTTCTACATATGGCTAGCCAGTTTTCCCAGCACCATTTATTAAATAGGGAATCCTTTCCCCATTGCTTGTTTTTCTCAGGTTTGTCAAGATCAGATAGTTGTAGATATGCGGCGTTATTTCTGAGGGCTCTTTTCTGTTCCATTGATCTATATCTCTGTTTTGGTACCAGTACCATGCTGTTTTGTTTACTGTAGCCTTGTAGTATAGTTTGAAGTCAGGTAGTGTGATGCCTCCAGCTTTGTTCTTTTGGCTTAGGATTGACTTGGCGATGCGGGCTCTTTTTTGGTTCCATATGAACTTTAAAGTAGTTTTTTCCAATTCTGTGAAGAAAGTCATTGGTAGCTTGATGGGGATGGCATTGAATCTGTAAATTACCTTGGGCAGTATGGCCATTTTCATGATATTGATTCTTCTTATCCATGAGCATGGAATGTTCTTCCATTTGTTTGTATCCTCTTTTATTTCCTTGAGCAGTGGTTTGTAGTTCTCCTTGAAGAGGTCCTTCATATCCCTTGTAAGTTGGATTCCTAGGTATTTTGTTCTCTTTGGAGCAATTGTGAATGGGAGTTCACTCATGATTTGGCTCTCTGTTTGTCTGTTGTTGGTGTATAAGAATGCTTGTGATTTTTGTACATTGATTTTGTATCCTGAGACTTTGCTGAAGTTGCTTATCAGCTTAAGGAGATTTTGGGCTGAGACAATGGGGTTTTCTAGATATAAAATAATGTCATCTGCAAACAGGGACAATTTGACTTCCTCTTTTCCTGATTGAATACCCTTTATTTCCTTCCCCTGCCTAATTGCCCTGGCCAGAACTTCCAACACTATGTTGAATAGGAGTGGTGAGAGAGGGCATCCCTGTCTTGTGCCAGTTTTCAAAGGGAATGCTTCCAGTTTTTGCCCATTCAGTATGATATTGGCTGTGGGTTTGTCATAGATAGCTCTCATTATTTTGAAATACGTCCCATCAATACCTAATTTATTGAGAGTTTTTAGCATGAAGGGCGGTTGAATTTTGTCAAAGGCTTTTTCTGCATCTATTGAGATAATCATGTGATTTTTGTCTTTGGCTCTGTTTATATGCTGGATTACATTTATTGATTTGCGTATATTGAACCAGCCTTGCATCCCAGGGATGAAGCCCACTTGATCATGGTGGATAAGCTTTTGGATGTGCTGCTGGATTCGTTTTGCCAGTATTTTATTGAGGATTTTTGCATCAATGTTCATCAAGGATATTGGTCTATAATTCTCTTTTTTTGTTGTGTCTCTGCCCGGCTTTGGTATCAGAATGATCCTGTTCTTATAAAATGAGTTAGGGAGGATTCCCTCTTTTTCTATTGATTGGAATAGTTTCAGAAGGAATGGTACCAGTTCCTCCTTGTACCTCTGGTAGAATTCGGCTGTGAATCCATCTGGTCCTGGACTCTTTTTGATTGGTAAGCTATTGATTATTGCCACAATTTCAGCTCCTGTTATTGGTCTATTCAGAGATTCAACTTCTTCCTGGTTTAGTCTTGGGAGAGTGTATGTGTCCAGGAATTTATCCATTTCTTCTAGATTTTCCAGTTTATTTGCGTAGAGGTGTTTGTAGTATTCTCTGATGGTAGTTTGTATTTCTGTGGGATCGGTGGTTATATCCCCTTTATCATTTTTTATTGCATCTATTTGATTCTTCTCCTTTTTTTCTTTATTAGTCTTGCTAGCAGTCTATCAATTTTGTTGATCCTTTCAAAAAACCAGCTCCTGGATTCATTAATTTTTTGAAGGGTTTTTTGTGTCTCTATTTCCTTCAGTTCTGCTCTGATTTTAGTTATTTCTTGCCTTCTGCTAGCTTTTGAATGTGTTTGCTCTTGCTTTTCTAGTTCTTTTAATTGTGATGTTAGGGTGTCAATTTTGGATCTTTCCTGCTTTCTCTTGTGGGCATTTAGTGCTATAAATTTCCCTCTACACACTGCTTTGAATGCATCCCAGAGATTCTGGTATGTTGTGTCTTTGTTCTCGTTGGTTTCAAAGAACATCTTTATTTCTGCCTTCATTTCGTTATGTACCCAGTAGTCATTCAGGAGGAGGTTGTTCAGTTTCCATGTAGTTGAGCGGTTTTGAGTGAGATTCTTAATCCTGAGTTCTAGTTTGATTGCACTGTGGTCTGAGAGATAGTTTGTTATAATTTCTGTTCTTTTACATTTGCTGAGGAGTGCTTTACTTCCAAGTATGTGGTCAATTTTGGAATAGGTGTGGTGTGGTGCTGAAAAAAATGTATATTCTGTTGATTTGGGGTGGAGAGTTCTGTAGATGTCTAATAGGTCCGCTTGGTGCAGAGCTGAGTTCAATTCCTGGGTATCCTTGTTGACTTTCTGTCTCATTGATCTGTCTAATGTTGACAGTGGGGTGTTAAAGTCTCCCATTATTAATGTGTGGGAGTCTAAGTCTCTTTGTAGGTCACTCAGGACTTGCTTTATGAATCTTGGTGCTCCTGTATTGGGTGCATATATATTTAGGATAGTTAGCTCTTCTTGTTGAATTGATCCCTTTACCATTATGTAATGGCCTTCTTTGTCTCTTTTGGTCTTTGTTGGTTTAAAGTCTGTTTTATCAGAGACTAGGATTGCAACCCCTGCCTTTTTTTGTTTTCCATTGGCTTGGTAGATCTTCCTCCATCCTTTTATTTTGAGCCTATGTGTGTCTCTGCACGTGAGATGGGTTTCCTGAATACAGCACACTGATGGGTCTTGACTCTTTATCCAATTTGCCAGTCTGTCTTTTAATTGGAGCATTTAGTCCATTTACATTTAAAGTTAATATTGTTATGTGTGAATTTGATCCTGTCATTATGATGTTAGCTGGTTATTTTGCTCGTTAGTTGATGCAGTTTCTTCCTAGTCTGGATGGTCTTTACATTTTGGCATAATTTTGCAGCGGCTGGTACCGGTTGTTCCTTTCCATGGTTAGTGCTTCCTTCAGGAGCTCTTGTAAGGCAGGCCTGGTGGTGACAAAATCTCCCAGCATTTGCTTGTCTGTAAAGTATTTTATTTCTCCTTCACTTATGAAGATTAGTTTGGCTGGATATGAAATTCTGGGTTGAAAATTCTTTTCTTTAAGAATGTTGAATATTGGCCCCCACTCTCTTCTGGCTTGTAGGGTTTCTGCTGAGAGATCTGCTGTTAGTCTGATGGGCTTCCCTTTGGGGGTAACCCGACCTTTCTCTCTGGCTGCCCTTAACATTTTTCCTTCATTTCAACTTTGGTGAATCTGACAATTATGTGTCTTGGAGTTGCTCTTCTCGAGGAGTATCTTTGTGGCGTTCTCTGTATTTCCTGAATCTGAACGTTGGCCTGCCTTGCTAGATTGGGGAAGTTCTCCTGGATAATATCCTGCAGAGTGTTTTCCAACTTGGTTCCATTCTCCCCATCACTTTCAGGTACACCAATCAGACGTAGATTTGGTCTTTTCATATAGTCCCATATTTCTTGGAGGCTTTGCTCATTTCTTTTTATTCTTTTTTCTCTAAACTTCCCTTCTCGCTTCATTTCATTCATTTCATCTTCCATCGCTGATACCCTTTCTTCCAGTTGATCGCATCAGCTCCTGAGGCTTCTGCATTCTTCACGTAGTTCTGGAGCCTTGGTTTTCAGCTCCATCAGCTCCTTTAAGCACTTCTCTGTATTGGTTATTCTAGTTATACATTCTTCTAAATTTTTTTTCAAAGTTTTCAACTTCTTTGCCTTTGGTTTGAATGTCCTCCTGTAGCTCAGAGTAATTTGATCGTCTGAAGCCGTCTTCTTTCAGCTCCTCGAAGTCATTCTCCATCCAGCTTTGTTCCGTTGCTGGTGAGGAACTGTGTTCCTTTGGAGGAGGAGAGGCGCTCTGCTGTTTAGAGTTTCCAGTTTTTCTATTCTGTTTTTTCCCCATCTTTGTGGTTTTATCTACTTTTGGTCTTTGATGATGGTGATGTACAGGTGGGCTTTTGGTGTGGATGTCCTTTCTGTTTGTTAGTTTTCCTTCTAACAGACAGGACCCTCAGCTGCAGGTCTGTTGGAATACCCTGCCTTGTGAGGTGTCAGTGTGCCCCTGCTGGGGGGTGCCTCCCAGTTAGGCTGCTCGGGGGTCAGGGGTCAGGGACCCACTTGAGGAGGCAGTCTGCCCGTTCTCAGATCTCCAGCTGCGTGCTGGGAGAACCACTGCTCTCTTCAAAGCTGTCAGACAGGGACACTTAAGTCTGCAGAGGTTACTGCTGTCTTTTTGTTTGTCTGTGCCCTGCCCCCAGAGGTGGAGCCTACAGAGGCAGGCAGGCCTCCTTGAGCTGTGGTGGGCTCCACCCAGTTCGAGCTTCCAGGCTGCTTTGTTTACCTAATCAAGCCTGGGCAATGGCGGGCGCCCCTCCCCCAGCCTCGCTGCCGCCTTGCAGTTTGATCTCAGACTGCTGTGCTAGCAATCAGCGAGACTCCCTGGGCGTAGGACCCTCCAAGCCAGATGCCGGATATAATCTCTTGGTGCGCCGTTTTTTAAGCCCATCTGAAAAGCGCAGTATTCGTGTGGGAGTGACCCGATTTTCCAGGTGTCGTCCCTCACCCCTTTCTTTGACTCAGAAAGGGAACTCCCTGACCCCTTGCGCTTCCCAAGTGAGGCAATGCCTCGCCCTGCTTTGGCTCGTGCACGGTGCGCACACCCACTGACCTGCGCTCACTGTCTGGCACTCCCTAGTGAGATGAACCCGGTACCTCAGATGGAAATGCAGAAATCACCCGTCTTCTGCGTCGCTCACGCTGGGAGCTGTAGACTGGAGCTGTTCCCATTCGGCCATCTTGGCTCCTCCGAACTCCAATTTTGAAATAAATTATACTGTGGCTAAAATGTTGTCAAACAGCATAACACGCTACAGAGAAAACTTTTATGAAAGGAAGAGTCAATAGTTGTAGAAAAATTTTTGTTGTTTAATTTTAAGAAATTATGACAGCCACCTCAACCTTCAGCAGCCACCACGCTGATCAGTCCAGCAGACATCAACACTGAGGTAAGACCCAGCATCAGCTATAGATTACAGCTTGCTGAAGGCTCTGATGATTGTTAGCATTTTTTTTGCAATAAAGTTTTAAATTAAGGCATGTACATTGTTATTTAGACATAGTGCTATTGCACACTCAGTGGACAATGGCATAGTGTAAACATAACTTTTAAATGCCCTGGGAAACTAAAAACTGCGCTGGACTCATTTTATTGCAATATTTGCTTTATTGTGGTGGTTTTGAACCACACTTGCTTATCGCTGAGCTATGCCGGTGTTTTTAAAGGAGATAATTTTGGAATCGGTAGATTAGATAAATAGAAGTAAAAGGGAATATTCAGAGAAGTAGTTTCCATATATCAGGAGAAAAGGTAAAGATCTGGACAGAGACAATTACAGAAAGGATGAGAAAAAGAGTCAGAATTTACAGGCTTTCCTAAGGGACATTTGAATGTAGTAGATGTCTAGTTTCTTTCTGGGACTGTAAGAGGAGGAGGGTTAATGTTTTCTTTATGCTTGGGGAGTTGATAACTTGTGGCATTGTGGAGAGAGAATGATCACCCAAAAGAATGGGTTTTATGAGAAAAATCATGAGCTCAGTAGGTAGAAAGAAATATGGATTTAGAGCCTTGGTGAGATATCAGGGGTGTAGATAGAGATGTAGGTGTTATCAACATATGGATGGTAGTTGCAGCATTGCAAAAGGAGAAGATATATAAGCAGAGTAAAGAACAAAGGGGGAAAATTCTAAAAAAAAAAAAAAAAGAAGAGAACGATTAAGGGGGGAAATAAATAAAGCCAATGAATAAGTAAAGAAAAGTTGCCATAGAAGTTGAAACCGGAAATATTGTGTCACCTGAAGGCTAATGGGGGAGAGAGTTTCAAGTAGTGGATGGTTAATTTGAAAGGTTTTAAACAAGGATCGAATATAATCAATTTTGCTTTTAGAAAGTGAACTAAACGAAAAAAAAAAAAAGAGAGAAAAGGAGCTGGATGCTATCATATGCTGAGAGAAAGGAATTTACCTCCACCAACCTATAGAATTGAGGATATGAAGAAAAAAGAGACAGAGAGGAGGTCACTTGGCTGGAAACTGATGGTGGCTGGATATAAAGACTGGAGAAGGCAAGAGTCAAAGCTGATTTTTTGTTTCTGCCTTGGTGAATGGTTTTCTGTTAACTGAGATGGGGAATGGCAGAGAAGCTGGTTTGGGGAAATTTGGGAAGAGATAACGAGGTTTCATTCAAATTCATTGAATGTGACATACATGTCTTAAGACACTCAGGTGGCAACCTCCTGACAAAGACTCAGGAGGGAGTTGAGAGCTGGAGTTATAATTGAGAGTGGGAAGAACACAGGTTCTGGTAAATCGTGAGAGAGACTGGAGATTTCTTATTAAGAGCACATGAATGCTTGAGATAGAAAACTGACAGCTGTGTGAAAGAAGCGGAGCCAATGGGTAACCCTGAATAAACATTTTTATAAATATCTTCATAAAAGGCAACCAGCAGGGTCACAGTGAAGCCATTTGGCTTGGAATGTGTGGTGCTTATTAGTAACATATAAACTGAGGTAAGGAGAAGAAAGAATGTGGGCTGAACAGTGTTCCAAAGTTGGATTCAAATCCTGAACGTTTTCGTTGCATGTTGTGGAACTTAGGGAAATTTACTTAATCTTGTTGACTTACAGTTTCCTAACGTGTAAGGTTATGGTAAGAAGTTCTAATAAGGCACAGATCTGCACAATGTAGGTGCTCAGTAAGGCTAACTTCCTCCATCTCTCACTTTCTAGTACTTCTCTTGCTTTCTTTTTTTCTCTTTCTTCCCTGTTGCATTTTCAATCATTTGCAATGAACACTGCTTTAGCTTATAATCTCAAATTGAAACACACTTTTTCTGTAGTTAAGGAATTATATATTAGTCAGGATATGCAACCATAAATTGAAATAACTGTTTGGATACTCAGGTTAGCAGCACTCATTTGAGGACATCAATTGAATAGGCTCTGATGCTAAGATGGGTCACCTAAGACACAAGGGAATGAGAGAGAGAGAGACAGAGAGAGAGAGGGGGGGAGAAGAAAGGGAGAGAAAAATATTATGACAGGTTAATATGGTTTGGCTGTGTCCCCACCCAAATCTCATCTTGAATTCCCACATGTTATGGGAGGGACCCAGTGGGAGGTGATTGAATCATGGGGACAAGTCTTTCCTATGTGGTTCTTGTGATAGTGAATAAGTCTCATGAGACCTGATGGTTTTAGGAAGAGGAGTTCCCCTGCACAAGTTCCCTCTTTTGCCTGCCGCCATCCACGTAAGATATGACTTGCTCTTCCTTGCCTTCCACCATGATTGTGAGGCTTCCCCAGCCACATGAAACTGCAAATCCAATTAAACTTCTTTCTTTTGCAAATTTCCCAGTCTCAGGTATATTTTTATCAGCAGCATGAAAACAGACTAATACACAAGCTAAATAAGTTCTGTTTTGTTTTTTCCAAATAAGGACAATTTTAAAATGCTATGAATACTATGTCCAGGGACATATTATAGAATCATTGAAAGAACTAGTAAGGATCTTAGAGATCATGGAATCTGATATTTCTCGTTTTGCTTTCTTTTGCAGCAGAACTTTCTTCTGGCAGATAAAATCTTACACAAATTGTTAACAGAATTTCTCACATTGATGCAGGGATGGAAGCCACTAAGCCTTACTTTCTCAGCCTCCTTCAGCCCTCTACTTTGGATGGTCCCTGAGGTACCATGGTGAAACCCTAGGGCTCTGAAGCATGAAGTATGAAGTATATAATCATGCTTTTAGTCCAACTGCCTTATTTAAGGAAGGGAAACTGAGTCATATGAAGATAAGTAGCTTGCACCAGATCCTGGCAGAGCAGTCTTCAATTCTCCCCCAGGGCTTTTGTTGGAGTGGCCTTTTAAAGCCTGCATTTTGAGCAAATCACCACCTTACCACTTTATTTTTGCAACCAGTGTTCCATAAAAATAAGAAAATATTCATAATGGAACTGCAGCCCCTCCATCTACAGGAAGAGTCCCAGGAGGATGACAATCATATGGGAAAAATACATAAAGTTTTAATTCAGGGGACTAACTAGCCACCTGCCAAGTTCAATTAAGTAGGAGTGGTAGTTGGCCAGGGAGGTGGGCCTGAATGAGTAGAGTTCTTGAGGGCAAGTAAGAAGTAGAAGTCTCTCACGTGAAGATGTAGCACAGAATCCAACTGGGACTAAACTGTGTGTCTGGGAGCCAGGACTTAATGGGCACACATTCATCTCTGGTGCTTAGATGAGGAGACCACTATTGTTGGGCTTTCCAAAAGCCATCTCTGTGTGTGTGTGTGTGTGTGTGTGTGTGTGGCAAGGGAATAAGAGGTCTGAGCTCTGCATAGTCAGGAGGCACCAAAGAGACATCGGGGGCTTTGAGGATGTTTGAGGATGAGGTTTGCTGGTTTTAGGAGGAAGGAAATGATGTAACAACTAATCTTTTCTGGGTTAAAATCTCAGATTTTATCTCGTTGGAATATTCAACTGATTTAAAATAATTTTCTGAGCATCTACTATGTCCAAAAAGTTGTATAGTGAGCTTCGGATGATCAAAATAAGTTATTTTCTTTAAGAATTAGATACAGTGAGAGAAGTAAGCATGCAAGTAAAAACTGAAATAGTGGCTTATTCATTTGTTCTTCATTGTCTCATATGGTGCTTAGCTCAGTGTATTTACTTACCGAATGCATTTATAGCCCATCTACATCTGAAAAAGATTTGAAGCAGTCACAAAACACTTTTTAAAAGTATATTAATAGAAAGAAAAAATCAGGAGCAGAACAGAAAGAGTAATATAATTTGGGGCTGCAAAAGAGGATTGCATTAAATTGGTTTCAGGTCATGAGTCTACCACTTATTACCTGTGTGAACACTTGGAAGTTATTTAAACATTCTGTCCTTCAGTCTCTTCAGCTATAAAGTTCAGTCTTTTCAGCTTATGGATTGTTGTGAGGATTGAATGACAACACATCTAAAGTTGTGATCAATAAAGTTTAATTATTTTGCTTTGCTTTCTGGGAAATTTCTTCTATATTTCCTTCCTCCCGTTTTATGAAGTTCTAAATTGCTATTGAATCTTGATGCTTCTGCTTAACTTCCAAGGACTATTTTGGGTATTAAAAGTGTTCCTTTTTTGTGTGTAATGTACTTCATTAATATAATTATAGTTTTCCTGAATATAGTAAGGGTCTTTCATTCATAATTCATTTTAGTTTTCTTCTACCTGCATAGACTCTGATTTTTCCAGGATTTTACAATCAATTTCTTGGTGGTTATTATCAATGAAATTACAGCATGGACTTTTAAACACATTTGACTGTAAAGTTAAAAGTATTTTTTATTTCTGTACCCACTACACATCTCATTCATACACACACACACATGAAAAGATAGGGCAGGAGAGAGAGAAATACACATTTGCACATCATTGGGGATTAGAACTTCATGTAACAGTATTTCCCTTACTATATGAACTATTAGACATCTGATCATCCATGACTGAAAATACTAATTGAAGGCTCTAAATGTGCTGATAGGCATTATTGACTGTGACTTTCACTAAATTGACCTGGCTGGGTCATGCAGTTGATGATACATCAATGTTAATATTGTTAAGACTTTTCTCTTAGGCTCAGCGGATTCTCAGGGAGGTTGCTACTAATTTCCTGCCTAGATGGTCAAGGACTGGTTGCCAGAAGTTTGGAAGCACAGTGGGGAAAAATGCTCAGGATTTCAGCATCCAAATGCACTTCCTTTATTCAATGCAATGTATCAAGTCTCAATTCTATTTGGTGAGCCACATCACAAAGACTGTTTTTACATTTTCAGAAAATAAATCTTCTGATTCTTGCCAGAGGAAGGAAGAAGAAATTACCTGATTGTATGGATTGTATGGAGTACTGTCTGATCTTTTTTTATTTTTGAGACAGAGTCTCACTCTGTTGTCCAGGCTGAAGTGCAGTGGAGCAATCTTGGCTCACTGCAAACTGCTTCCTGGGCTCAAGTGATCCTCCCACTTTAGCCTCCCGAACAACTGGGACTACAGGCATGTGCCTCCATGCCTAGTTAATTTTTGTGTTTTTTATAGAGATGGAGTTTTGTCATGTTGCCCAGCCTGGTCTGAAACTTCCAGACTTAAGCAATCTACCCACCTCAGCCCCCCAAAGTGCTGGGATTACAGGCATGAGCTACCGTGCGTGGACATAATCTGATTTTTATAGTTGATTCCTACACAGATATTCAACTAATCTTTGTAATTTTAGCCCTATTCATTCCCTCTTTCAGAGTACTGATGTTACCAATTCCTGAACCTACTGGGAATTCTGCAGCCTCAAATTGATTTGGTTTTTAACTTTCACCCCATCAGCCTATGGTTTAGTATTTTCAAATCTCCCAAATATTGACCTCTCATTTATTTGTTTTTTAGACTTTATGAGTTTGCTGCTGATGTCCTCTCTGCCTGTCTCCCTGTCCTTTGTGATCATGCCTAAAAACTTCTTTACTGTCAGTTTAATGGAGTTTTGGAAGGGGTTGAAAGTAAATATGTACATTCAGTGTACATCTTTAACTGAAAATCCTTTTCCATCTATATACTTAAGTAGCTGTGTGTCTTTAAGCAAGAATAGGACAATAGTAAGATCTTATAAAATGATAAGATACTTTCTTTGGGTATGAAAAGTACCTTGCACAGTTTCTGCAACATTAAAAGCAGAGGTGACATTCAAAATATTTAACAAACATTACAACATGAGCACTGGCCACCTAGATTCATCATGATTTTTGTTTCATTTCAAGACTGTTAGAGTCTCAGGAGAAAGAAACTTATTTCATGTTTCTTATTTTTTCTCCTTTTCCATGGCCTGTTATTAGGAGCCAATCATTGCTTTTACTAATCTTGCAGATATAGGCAGTGGCTTTTCTTTACACTTATTGATAATTCTTATAGATTTGTACTTTAAAAAATTATTACTCTAATTTAATTTGGGCTCTATATCACTGTGGATATGTCTTTTTGAAAATGTCATCCTCTTATCCTGCTACCTGGTTAGGATGGGATAAGTCATGTAGAAAAAAAGCAAGGGGGCTGGGTGTGGTGGCTCACGCCTGTAATTCTAGCACTTTTGGAGGCTGAGGCGGGTGGATCACCCAAGGTCAGGAGTTTGAGACCAGCCTGACCAACAAGGTGAAACCCTATTGTTGGGAATAGGCCCCCAAAATCCAGTCATAAACTGGCCCCAAAATGGGTCATAAACAAAATTTCTGCGGCACTGTGACATGTTCATGGTGGCCGTGACACCCACACTGGAAGGTTGTGGGTTTACCGGAATGAGGGCAAGGAACACCTGGCCCACCCAGGGCAGAAAACCACTTAAAGGCATTCTTAAACCACAAGCAATAGCGTCAGCAACGTGTGCCTTAAGGACGTTCTCCTGCTGCAGGTAACTAGCCAGAGCCCATCCCTTTACTTTGGCCCATCCCTTTGTTTCCTGTAAGGAACACTTTTAGTTAATCTATAATCTATAGAAACAATGCTTATCACTGGCTTGCTGTCAATAAATACGTGGGTAAATCTCCGTTCGAGGCTCTCAGCTCTGAAGGCTGTGAGACCCCTGATTTCCCACTCAACACCTCTATATTTCTGTGTGTGTGTCTTTAATTCTTCTAAAGCCGCTGGGTTAGGGTCTCCCCGACTTGGCACCCTATCTCTACTAAAAACACAAAAAATTAGCCGGGCTTGGTTGCAGGCAACTGTAGTCCCAGTTACTCAGGAGGCTGAGACAGGAGAAATGCTTGAACTGGGAGAAAGAAATTGCAATGAGCCGAGATTGCGCCTCTGCACTCCAGCCTGGGCAACAGAGCGAGACTCTGTATCAAAAAAATAAATAAAAAAAGCAAAGGGAACATTATTTTGGGATCACTGAGCTATTGTCTCCCCAGCCAGAGCCTTGAGCGTGAGAATCTCCATCGGTTGGAGTATATGGCAGTTACTCTTTCTCCAAATGGAGTGAAGAAGTGGGTGAATTTGAGGACCAGGAATAAATGTGAGAATTTGGTAGCCACTTCACTGCTTCTCCAAAGTGTAAGCTCTGAAAGAGTGTTAAGGAGAAATAAGAAAAGGAAAAACATCTTATACAATGTAATTTACACAACAGCATTGGGTTTTGCCTCACATTTTCTGGGTAGAACAGAATGCTATATCCCCTTCAAGAGGTATTTTCTCTCTGGCCTAGTTACGTGTTTCTTTTTCTTCACTACATTAACAGTTGTACAAGTATCTTATGCAATTTCACTGAATTGTTGCTCAGATCAATCAATAAAGTTCCAGTACTGACAATTTCTCAAAGCACATACCCCTTAAAAGCCACCTTGTGAACAATTCTGTATAAGCCTCGTTTAAGGCTCCCTTGGAATTTAAGTACTCTGTCGGAACGATGATGCCTAATCGATTTTTCACAGCAAATTGACCCCCTCAGACCTTGGGCAAGCATTTGAGCTTGCCATAATAAATGGAAATGGGAGCCTTTAGGATAAATGGTTGTGGGGTTTGGGGGAGAGGATTCAGAGGTGCCGACCTGCATTGGAGAATGCTGACTCATTCATCCTCCCAAATAGCCAGTTAGCATGGAAGCTCTCATAGTGGTAAAAGAGATAACCAAAATGCCTGTATTCCTTCTTTTGCTGAAAACTGCAGGCCCTTTAATTCACGTTTTCTTGATATTTTGCCCTTAAGATGGAGAATACAACTAGGTATGCTTATCATATTTTTAAATAAAATGTAAGATTTTTTTTCCCATTACAAAAGGAACATACTCATCTAAAAAATTATAATATACAGAAAGGCCAAAAGAAGCAGGGAACATTCTGCCATGTTCTTAACACACAGAAGTAATTATTGTTTCTGTATATTTTGGGGAGTCCTTTTTCTCCCTAGAAGTAAATTTTTGAATATATGAAAAAATACAGTTTTAAGCCTATTGTTTCTAGAATTTAATTGCTTACTTTCCTCCAGCATAAGAAAAAGGTAATGAAAATTCATTGTAAACATGGTATTTAATTACAGCCCAATATTTTATTGAATAATTGGATTTAATTATCTTTTACTATGGGATATTCAAGTTACTTCCAGTTATTTCAAATTTAGAATCTGATAAAGATAGTATTGCAAAGTAGTGGGCAAATGAAAATAATGTCCTGAACACCATCACCCCAAAATAAGCACAAATTAGATTACCCTTCTTAACTTTTTTCTAAATAAATTCCAGATGGATTGATCATTTAATATTTAAAATGGTATCTAAAAGGGCTAGCAGAATATAAGGGTGAATTATTATATAATCTTGGTATAGAAGGGAATTTCTGAGAAACAAAGCAGAAGTCACAAAGAAAATATTTAGTATATTTAAATGCACAGAATTTAAAAGCTGCTTTTAATTATGGATACATACAAACATAATGTTGAAGGAAATATGACAAACCAAACTATCTAAAAAGCTCTTAGAAATCAATAATTAAAAATATGAAAAAAGACAAAAATGGTCTAAGCTTGATGCATAGATGATACACTACAGAAAATATGACAAACATTTAAAATGTTCACATGTTATAGTAACAAAAGACATATACTTAAAATATGTTGTTTTATCTAAACACTAGTAACATCTTGTGCTGTCAGAACTGTGGGGAAATAGGTATTTCCAAGCACTCATGGAGTTGATATAACTTCCCTACAAGATACTTTAACAATATATATATCAAAGACCCTAAATATTGGGTACTTTAAAGAAATTGGGCCAGGCACAGTGACTCACACCTATAATCCTAGCACTCTGGGAGCCTAAGATGAAAGGGTTGCTTGAGGCCAGGAGTTGGAAACCAGTCTGGTCAGCATAGCGAACCCTGTCTCCACAAAAGAAAAATTTCAAAATTAGTTGGGTCTGGTGGTGCACTTATGTAGTCCTAGCTACTCAGGAGGCTGAAGCGGGAGGATTGCTTGACCCTAGGAGGTTGAGGCTGCAGTGAGCCATGATCGTGCCACTGCACTCCAGCCTGGTGACAGAACAAGACCCTGTCTCAAAAAAATTGAGATAAAAATAAAAAAAAGAAAGAAAAAAGAAATTGAATTCCTTGTATTTATTCTAAGCATGCAATTAAAGAAGTATCCATAGGTATGTACAGACAGATATTCATCTCCGTGTTGTACATAAACCATGAACAGTGGAAAGCAACCTAAATGTCTAGCAATGCTAGATTGTTAAAAAACATATTGGCATGGTCTCATAATAGAAAGCCATGTGGTTCCTAAGTAAAATGATGTACATTTATATATTATGGTATTACAGAATTGAAGAGAATTATTATTTGTAAATGGGAAAAAACATTATTAAATAAAACATTATTTTATGGTAATCTATTTTTTGCATGTATTTGTGTTTCTGATCACTTGGAAAACAACTGGAAGAATCAGCCAGAAAATGTTAACAATGATTATTTCTGGCGAATGAGATTTTGGCAATGTAACTTTACATACCTCCCCCAATCTATATTTTCTATTTTTTGTTTTATTAGAATCACGTATTTCTTAGTCTGTACTTGTTTAAGTAATGAAAATATGGAAGTAATATTTCAACAAATACTGAAATCCATATGTTCTTAAGTATAATTATATTTATTATTTTTTACCTTAGGATACATTATTAGAATTGGGAAGTTCAGTTCAAAAGGTGGGAACATTTTTGAAATTCTTGACATATGTTGCAAATTGTCCTGTGTCAACATAGCAACTCCAGAAACAGCAACACAAAAGTGCCCATTTTACCATACTCTTGTCATCACTGGTGAAGTGATTATTAGTAAGAGTACATTTTCACATTTTAAAATATTTGTTAACCAGTAGAATTTTCATTGTTGAAAATTATTTCTTGGAAGGCATATTTGAAAAAACCATAAAAAGAGAGCTTATATTGTAGACAATAAGTTTTTAGATCATCTTAAAAGGCCACATTAATCCTTGGCCTATGGGGTAATAGTTATTCTAGGAGGGAAAGCATATTGGAAGCCTCAGGAACTCCCTCACTCCAAGAAAGATAATTAAAACAAAACAACAACCACCTCATCCTAAGGAAGAGTTCCTGAGTGCAGTGGAGTGATCTAGGCTCACTGCAATCTCTGCCTCCTGGGTTCAAGCGATTCTCCTGCCTCAGCTGCCCATACTGGGATTACAGACGCTCACCACCATACCCAGGTAATTTTTTGTATTTTTAGTAGAGACGGGTTTCACTATGTTGGCCAGGCTGGTCTCAAACTCCTGACCTCGTGATCCACACTCCTCAGCCTCCCAAAGTGCTAGGATTACAGGCGTGAGCCACCGCACCCGGCCAGGGATGATCCTGTTAATGCGCCATTTAACACACCACGATTGCTCTGAAAAAGCAGACAGGTCTTGGAGGGTGACAGTGGACTCTCATAAACTTGAACAAATACTTGTTCCGATTGCAGCTGTTGTGCCAGATGACGTATCTTTGCTAGAGCAGGTTAATGCTGCCTCAGGACATTAAATGTGTCCACTGATCTTGCGAATACATTCTTTTCCATTTCTATCAGGAGGAAGGAACAGAAGCAATTTTCATTCACCTGGGATGGAGAACATTTTACATTTATGATTTTGCCCCAGGGCTATGCTAACTTACTGGGCTTTTCATAACATAATCCAAAGGGATCTGGATTGTCTGAACATTCCACAGAATATCAATGTAGTTCAGTGAATCAGAGGCATCATGTTTATGGGATCAAATAAGAAAGAAGTGGAAAGTACCTTAGAGGTACTTCAGAGAGTGGAAGAGAAATCTTAGGAAGCGTCCTGCCAAATTAATGACATTTTTAGAGGTTCAGGATTCGAGGGTATGCCGCAAAATCCCCTCACATTAAAGAACAAATTATTTTATTTTGAAATTTTCACAACTAAGAGGGAATCACAACACTGGGTAGACATTTCTGGGTTCTAGAAGCACATATTCCACACTTGAGAATATGGGTCTATTAATGAGCCCAGAGCAATAAAGCCCTCAGCACTTGATACAGGCTACAGTGTAGGCAGCCCTGACATTGGGCGGTATGTCTGGATAGTTCATATAGCATTATAGATATCTATGATGAGAAAATTGCTATGTGGAGTTTATAGCAAGCTGTGGTTTAAAAAACTACAATACAGACCTTGAGTGTTCTAAATAAAAAAGTCATGTCATCTGCTGCAATGGATTACAAACCATTTGATAGACAACTCATAACACGCTACTGCACCCTGATAAAGACAGAGCTTGCCATCATGAGCCATTAAGCACCATTTGAACAGAACAGCTCATAAGAAGCTGGATTCTGTCAGGCCCACAAGTAAGTCATATATCTGGGCAGATCCAGCCAGAATAAGGTCACTGTGAGGAGCACCACACAAGACCTCAGGAGTCATATTGGAATGGAGGACTGAGACTGACCAGAACTGGCCAGCCTACTGATTAAGAATGAACACTTTTGCCTACCAACAAAAACAGTCCAGGACCAGACTGATTCACAGCCGAATTCTACCAGAGGTACAAAGAGGAGCTGGTACCACTCCTTCTGAAACTATTCCAATCAATAGAAAAGGAGGCAATCCTCCCTAACTCATTTTATGAGGCCAGCATCATCCTGATACCAAAGCCTGGTAGAGACACACCAATATCCCTGATGAACATCAATGCAAAAATCCTCAATAAAATACTGGCAAACCGAATCCAGCAGCACATCAAAAAGCTTATCCACCATGATCAAGTGGGCTTCATCCCTGGGATGCAAGGCTGGTTCAACATATGCAAATCAATAAACGTAATCCATCACGTAAACAGAACCAATGACAAAAACCACATGATTATCTCAATAGATGCAGAAAAGGCCTTCGACAAAATTCAACAGCCCTTCGTGATAAAAATTCTCAATAAATTAGGTATTGATGGGACGTATCTCAAAATAATAAGAGCTATTTATGACAAACCCACAGCCAATATCATACTGAATGGGCAAAAACTGGAAGCATTCCCTTTGAAAACTGGCACAAGACAGGGATACCCTCTCTTACCACTCCTATTCAACATAGTGTTGGAAGTTCTGGCCAGGGCAATCAGGCTGGAGAAGGAAATAAAGGGTATTTGATTAGGAAAAGAGGAAGTCAAATTGTCCCTCTTTGCAGATGACATGATTGTATATTTAGAAAACCCCATCGTCTCAGCCCAAAATCTCCTTAAGCTGATAAGCAACTTCAGCAAAGTCTCAGGATACAAAATCAATGTGCAAAAATTACAAACATTCCTATACACCAATAACAGACAAACAGAGAGCCAAATCATGAGTGAACTCCCATTCACAATTGCTTCAAAGAAAAAAAAATACCTAAGAATCCAACTTACAAGGGATGTGAAGGACCTCTTCAAGGCGAATTACAAACCACTGCTTAATGAAATAAAAGAGGATACAAACAAATGGAAGAATATTCCATGCTCATGGATAGGAAGAATCAATATCATGAAAATGGCCATACTGCCCAAGGTAATTTATAGATTCAATGCCATCCCCATCAAGCTACTAATGACTTTCTTCACAGAACTGGAAAAAACTACATTAAAGTTCCCGTGGAACCAAAAAAGATCCCGAATTGCCAAGACAATCCTAAGCCAAAAGAAGAAAGCTGGAGGCATCACACTACCCAATTTCAATCTATACTACAAGGCTATAGTAACCAAAACAGCATGGTACTGGTACCAAAACAGAGATATAGACCAATGGAACAGAACAGAGCCCTCAGAAATAACACTACACATCTACAACCATCTGATCTTTGACAAACCTGACAAAAACAAGAAATAGGGAAAGGATTCCCTATTTAATAAATGGTGCTGGGAAAACTGGCTAGCCATATGTAGAAAGCTGAAACTGGATCCCTTCCTTACACCTTATATAAAAATTAATTCAAGATGGATTAAAGACTTAAATGTTAGACCTAAAACCATAAAAACCCTAGAAGAAAACCTAGGCAATACCATTCAGGACATAGGCATGGGCAATAACTTCATGTCTAAAACACCAAAAGCAATGGCAACAGAAGCCAAAGTTGACAAATGGGATCTAATTAAACTAAAGAGCTTCTGCACAGCAAAAGAAACTACCATCAGAGTGAACAGGCAAGCTACAGAATGGGAGAAAATTTTTGCAATCTACCCTTCTGTCAAAGGGCTAGTATCCAGAATCTACAAAGAACTTAAATTTCAAAAAAAAAAAAAAAATCAAACAACCCCATCAACAAGTGGGTGAAGGATATGAACAGACACTTCTCAAAAGAAGACATTTATGCAACCGAAAAACACATGAAAAAATGCTCATCATCACTGGCCATCAGAGAAATGCAAATCAAAACCACAATGAGGTACCATCTCACACCAGTTAGAATGGCCATCATTAAAAAGTCAGGAAACAACAGGTGCTGGAGAGGATGTGGAGAAATAGGAACACTTTTACACTGTTGGTGGGACTGTAAACTAGTTCAACCATTGTGGAAGACAGTGTGGCAATTCCTCAAGTAGCTAGAACTGGAAATACCATTTGACCCAGCCATCCCGTTACTGGGTATATACCCAAGGGATTATAAATCATGCTGCTATAAAGACACATGCACAAGTATGTTTATTGTGGCACTATACACAATAGCAAAGACTTGGAACCAACCCAAATGTCCATCAATGATAGACTGGATTAAGAAAGTGTGGCATATATACATCATGGAATACTATGCAGCCATAAAAAATGATGAGTTCATGTCCTTTGTAGGGACGTGGATGAAGCTGGAAACCATCATTCTGAACAAACTATCGCAAGGACAGAAAACCAAACACGGCATGTTCTCATTCATAGGTGGGAAATGAACAATGAAAACACTTGCACACAGGGTGGGGAACATTACACACCAGGGCCTGTCATGGGGTGGGGGGAGGGGGCAGGGATAGCATTGGAGATATACCTAATGTAAATGATGAGTTAATGGGTACAGCACACCCACATGGCACATGTATACATATGTAACAAACCTGTACGTTGTGCACATGTACCCTAGAACTTAAAGTATAATAAAAAAATTCTAATTCTGTCAAAAATAAAAAATTTTTTTTAAAAAAGAATGAACACTTTTTAGTCATAACCCAAGACCCTGTCATCTATCATTAAAGATAGAATTATATCATTAAATAAGCCAGTACATGGTCCTGAAAATTCTTATGAATTAACTGTCAAACTTCTACTATTCAAATGAGTGGAGTCATTTTTGTAAGGCTTGATATATTAATTGTTTATATCATGAGAATGACTCTCAGTTAAATCTCAAGAGCTTTCATAAACCCTAGGGTGACACTGGCATTTAATAAGATGTTGGATATACTCCCTACCTTTAACATTCTTTATATACCTTCTTGTTTGATTCCTCCACCACAGTTATCATCTAACATATTATATATTATTTATCTTATTTATCGTCTCTTTCTCCCACCAGAATGTAAATTCAACAGGAGGAGTGATTTCTGTCTGTTTTGGTAACTGAAACTAAGACTGTACTTAGCATACTACAGTTGCTCAATAAATATTTTCTGAATGAATGAAAGATATATAGGAGTCTAGTGCAGTATCCTACTTCTGTCTGGTTAATAGGGTTATATTAGTACACTGAACTTGGAGGGAAATAAAATGAATACTGCAGTTATAGCAATAACTGTGAGTTACAGCAAAAACTGGGAGAAGGGGAGAAGCTGCTTTATGAAGGTGTTAACTATTTTCTGACTCTTTTATTTATTTATTTTTTCTTAGAGACAGGGACTCATTCTGTTGCCAAAGTTGGAGGGCATTGGCATGATCATAACTCACTGCAGCCTTCAACTCCTGGGCTCAAGTGATCCTCCCACCTCCGTCTGCCTAGTAGCTGGGACAATAGGCATGCCACCATGCCCAGATTTTAAAAAATTTTTTGTAGAGACAGGGTCTTTCCATGTTTCCCAGGCTGGTCTCAAACTCCTGGGCTTATGTAATCCTTCTGCCTTGGCCTCCCAAAGTGCTGGGATTACAGGTGTGAGCCACTGTGCCCAGCTGGCTTTCTGGCTATTTGTTTATATCCTTTCTTGAGGGGACAGCAGTGGTCCTGGTTAACCACAGACCCAGCTCTCAGCTACTTTATTTAATAACAGGAAAAACCAAAAGTAGGAACATTTTGACCTTTCAGGTGATTTTGAAGTTCTCCCGTTTGTGAAGGAACACAGGTGCAGAAGCTGTTCCTATTAATTTGAGGTTGCAACCTTTGAAAGCCATGGATGTGAAGCCTGGACTAGCTTTACTCTGGATATTGGGAAATGCCCTTTCACTTTTGCCTTTTCTTCTCTGGTGTCTCTCTCTTCTTTGAACTGGTATACCTTTGCCCTCAGAGTGAGAGATAAGTATTTGGTAGTAGAGAGATAGCTAGTGAGAGATAGGCTCAGGGGTGAACGAAGGGGAGGTTATAGTTTGGTCAGCATATGAATATGCCAAAAATGGTGTGTGGATTCAGCTCAACTTGTTAACAGATGCAAGGCAGAATGACAAAAAGGAAATTATTTATTATGTCCAACAGCATGCCTAAAGGCAAAATAATTTATGGTGATGAAGAGACTATACATGTCTCAAACAATAGGAAATTAATAATGATGCTTCCGTACTCTTGGAATCAGACGTGAATTCAGTGGTTCCTGTGAATTCCAACAGCTACTTCTTATCCACATTCAAATTAAATTTATGTCAGCATTAAGCTAAGAGAAACTGTATCTGTCAATTTATTCTTACAAAGGGTCACATATCTACTATCTATCTTAGGAAATTCCTTGCCATGAGAAAGCAGTGGAAACATATTTAGGCGAGAATATTTTATTTAAGATTTTAAGAACTTGTTGAGGCTTGTTTTATTGATCCAGTCTGGAAAATGTTAGACCATGGCTCCGGAATGGCTCTTTTTAATTATATATATATGTGTATATATATAATATATAATATATACATGTTATATATATTATATTATATATACATATATATAATATAATATATACATAATATATATTATATAATTATCTACATAGTATATATATTATATAATATATACATATTATATAATGCATATTATATATTATATACATATTATATAATGCATATTATATTATATATATATTATATATACACATATATGATACAAATATAATACATATATATTATATATATAATATATAAACACATATATATATACACACACACATATATATACCACACACACACATTGTTGGTGTCATGTCATGCAGTGTGAAAAGACAGCTAGAATTTGAATAGAATAGCATGCAGTTCAGAACATCCCAGACTTCCTTCAAGGTAAAATTCACAGGATCCAAAAGGCAGTATTTTTGTGCTAGATCAACTCCCTCAAATGTCATGCTACAAATTCTTGAATTTTGACAAGTTTGAGAAAAACCTTATTTTTTTCAAATACATATTCCTATACATATACACACACATATGATATATACACATAAATGCATATATGTGTATATGTATATATATACACATGCATATATATATACACATACATATATATGTATTTTTTAAAATTAAATTTAATTCTATTAAATTCTATTAAATTAAATTCTATTAAATTAAATTAAATTATATTTTACGTTCTTGGATACATGTACAGGATGTGCAGGTTTGTTACTTACGTAGGTAAACGTGTGCTATGGTGATTTGCTGCACCTATCAACCTATCACCTAGGTATTAAACCCCACGTGCATTAGCCATTTATCCTGATGCTCTCCCTCCCTACTGACTCCCTGACAGTGTGTGTTGTTCTCTTCCCTGTGTCCATGTGTTCTGATTGTTCAGCTCCTACTTATAAGTGAGTGCATGCAGTGTTTGGTTTTCTGTTTTTGTGTTAGTTTGCTGAGGATAATGGCTTCCAGCTCCATCCATGACCCTGCAAAGCACATTATCTTATTACTTTTTATGGCTGCGTAGTATTTCCTGGTGTATATGCCCCACATTTTCTTTATCCAGTCTATCATTTATGGGCATTCGGGTTGATAACATGTCTTTGCTATTGTGAATAGTGCTTTAATGAACATATGCGTGCATGTATCTTTATAATAGAATAATTTATATTCCTTTGGGTATATACCCAGTAATGGGATTGCTGGGTCAAATGGTATTTCTGGTTCTAAGCCTTTGGGGAATCACCACACTGTCTTCCACAATCGTTGAACCAATTTACATTCCCAAGGTGAGAATTTTTAGATAATATTGCATTCCATTTCCAAATAAAAAATAGCAAAATAAATCTAAATTGATCCAAGTTCTTGATAACCTCTTCAATATGGTTACATAAACTGCCATGTTATTCCATTAGAATATAATCACTTTAAATTCATTTTCTACTGAGGATTCATTACGAATGATGAAATTATTCCAAAGTACTATCACTATAGTGAATCAAAGTGAATATCTGAAACTTCAGTGTCTAAAGTAAGTTTTTTTTTCAAATTTGTCAAAATTCAAGAATTTGTAGCATGACACTTGAGGGAGATGATCTAGTACAAAAATACTGACTTTTGGGTCCTGTGAATTTTACCTTGAAGGAAGTGTGGGATGTTCTGAACTGCATGCTATTCTATTCAAATTCTAGCTGTCTTTTCACACTGCGTGACATGACACCAACAGTATCTGCCACTGATTGACCACTAGTAAACATCAGGAACTTAATGAGGTGACTAATATATAATAGTCACTATTATAATGAGGTGACTATATATATGTATATTTATATGTGTATGTATATGTATATATACATGAATAAATTAAAACTATCTATGTATTTATGATATATACTTTAATTTATCCCTCATAAATTCCACTATGAATGCAACTATGAACAGTTCATGTTATTATTCCCATTTTATGGATGAGGAAACTGAAGATCAAATAATTTACATAATTTTATCCCAAGATTACGTGACAAGCAAGTGTGATCCGTCATATTATTCCAAAGCCAGTTTGTCCAACAATAAAGCCTGTCTTCACCAATATTATGCTTGGCTGCTTGTTTCTACAGTAGTGTCATTTTCTGATATCCATACCATTGTTTAATGTTTACCTGGAAGTACCTGGAAAGGTGCAAGCAAGGTATCCCATCATTTTTCTGTCCCCTTTTTAACACAGTCTCTTCATCCTATGAGCTAGTTTTTTAAAAAGCAGAAACAAGGAAAAAATTAAGATATACTACATACAAAAAAAAGAGTTACTTTCACTTGAAGGACACTAGAGCATTTTTAAAAAGTCAAGGTGTACTTGTGTCTTCTGAGTATAAAGACTTGAGTTTCAATCACAGGTTTGCCACTTATTGGCTGTGAGTCCCTGTTTGATATTCTGGTCACTAGCCTACTTGCTCTTCGATCTTTTCCTTGTACTTTCTCTGCTCTATTCTGTATTGCAGGGCACTGACTTCATCAAACTGCATTTCACAAGCTCTTTTGCCAGTTGTATTCTAGCTAGGATCAGCCAATGGAGGGCACTGGAAGAGAAATGAAAGGTGAAACAAGAAGAAAGCTGGTTTCTTTCTCTCCCACTCTTTCTGCTACAGGGAGTCCTCGGGCAGCAGGGTCCATCTTCTTTGTAGTTTATAGTTCTTGCACTGTAGTGATTGTAGCTTACATCAGGCCACTCTAGCACTTGGAGTCTGGTAATACCACCTACTCCTTGGACCTTCAGTCCCAGGGCTGATGATGGCTTTTTGCTATTCCTGAGTTCTGAGTTGCTTCACTACCTCTTATTTGCTTTTTCAGCTCTGCCAACTCCTTTGAGAATAGTTCTCCATATTAAATATTTTCTACTGAGCTACTCACTGTGGATTCAATTTTGCTGACTGAAAGTGACATAGCATGGCCAGATATTGAACTTTACTGAGACTCAGTTTCCTTATTTACAAAATAAGAATGATAGTAACTACTTGCAAGTTACTTGAATCCTTAGCTAGAATAACTAAGAAAAAAAGACTTATTAGTAAAATCAAAAATGAAAAAGAAGATATTTCAACAGATGCCTCAGATATAAAAAAGATCATAAGAGACTATTATAAATAATTATATGCCATAAATTATATAATCATGAAGAAATGGATAAATTCCTAGAAACATACAATTTATCAAGACTGCATCAAGAAGAAATAGGAGCCCTGAACAGACTAATAACTTATTTGTTATTAAGCTTTAAGCTGCAAACAAAACCTCTCAACAAAGAAAAACCCAGAACTTGATAGTTTTAACAGCTGAATCGTGTAAAACATTTAAAGAATTAATAACAATTCTTCTTAAACTCTTCTATAAAACAGTAAAAGAGAAAACACTTCCCAACTCATTTTATGAGGCCAACATCACTCTGGTAACAAAGCCAAAGACACCACAAGAGAACCATATATCTAATGAACATAGTTGCACAATTTCTCAACAAAATACTACTAGCAAATTAAATTCAACAGCACATGAAAAAAATTATACACCATGACCAATTGTGATTTATCCCTGGGATTCAAGTTTGTTTTAACACACAGAAATTAATCAATATGATACACCACATTAACAAAATGAAAAATAACCATATGACCATCTCAAAAGACATAGAAAAAGTATTAACAAAGCTCAATATTTACTCCTGATAAAAACTCTCAACAAAAAGGGTGTATAAAGAACATACCCCAACACAATAAGGGCCATTTATGGAAAACTGCAGCTAACATAATCAATGGGTAAATACTGAAAGCTTTTCTTTTAATTAGTAACAAGGCAAGGATGCCCTCTCCTACCACTTCTATTTGACATTGTACTGGAAGTCCTAGCCAGAACAATTAGACAAGAAAAATAAATAAAAGTCATCCAAAAAAGAAAGAAAAAAGTAAAATTATCTGTTTATAGATGATAAGACCTTATATATAGAAAACTCTAAAGACACCATTAAAAACTATTAGAACTAATAAATAAATTGAGTAAAGTTGCAAGAAACAAAATCAACATGCAGAAATCAATAGCATTTTTTACACTACTATCAAACTATTCAAAAAAGGAAATTAAAACAAACCTCACTTACAACAATATCAAAAAGAAAAACATACTTAGGAATAAATTTAACCAAACACACAAAAGATATGTTCACGAAAAACTAGAAAACATTAATGAAAATAATTGAAGAAGACACCAATTAATGGAAAGATATCTTTTGTTCATGGATTGGAAGAAATAATATTGTTAAAATACCCTTAACACCCAAAGAAATCTATAGAACAGATTCAGTGAAATCCATATCAAAAATCCAGTGGCATTTTTCACAGAAATGGGGGAAATAATTTTTGAATCCTAACTCAAAGTCTGGGTGAGTGAGACCGATCACTTCTGGTATTAGGGGCAGAAGAACATGAAAAGGTTTCACCCCAGGTGAGTCCGTTGGCAAGACTCTTCTCAGCACCTGGAGAATGTCAAAGCTAAGTCAACAGAGCATGCTTGGTGTGGCCAGCACAGGAAGTTTGAGAAAAGGACATTAGAGAAAAAAGAAATAGCATATGGAGGAATTTTTCTGGAAATCTGCCTGTATGTTGAGCTAAAGAGAATCCTGACTTGAATTCTCCAGATGACCCATTCCAACCGGAATTTTATATATTTTATATAAAATAGGAAGATGGGGAAAGAATGACAATGACTATATAACTCATGTAGTATTCCAGTAAAAGTCACGTAGCGAGAATGAACTGCACCCTTGTTCCAACTTTATTACTGGCTTACTTGGTGATACTCTATTTATTTCTCCATCCGCAAATACTTCCTGACCCGCAGAGCTAGACTTTGGTAAGGCGAAATTTGATAAATATTTACTAACCTTTATTGTGTGTCTGGTAGTGGTATACATCTAGGGATGCAACAAAGTGATTTCATTCCAGCGAGAGTCAGACAATTAAAAAAAAAAAACATACTTGAGTAGCGTGGATAGTATGTTAGATGGTGGTAAATTACAGAAAGAATGAAGTAGGGAGTGTGGAGAAAGGGGCATATTTTAAATAAAATGATGAGGGGAGACCTCAATAAAGAATATTAAATATGGGTAAAGACTAAGCAAATGAAGAAACAAGCAATTGTCTTTCTAGAGATAGATCATTTAAACAGAGGAGAGATGAAACAAATGTTCTGACACAGGAATGCTCAATGGGTTTATGAACTAACAAGAAAGCCAGCATGTGGATGAAAGAAAGATGACAGAAGATTCAAAGAAGTAACATCATGGGGTAGGGTGTAATAGATCTGTAGGATCTTGGAGGCTACTTTGGCTTTAGTCAGAATGAACAGCAAAGCCATTCAAGTCTTTTGAGCAGAGAAGTTATATTATCTAATTTATGTTTTAACATGATGCCTGCAGTTTCTGGTTTTTGGCAGGATGAAGCAAGGCAAGAGTGGGAGAGGGGAGACTGGTTAAGAAAGCCCACCTTCCACCTGCTTCTTTCTGTGTCCTTAGCCTCTCCTTGCGGATCGTATACTTCCTTCCCAACCCCTACTCCCACTGCTCTTTTACTGCAAGTCTTCTTATAATGCTCTTTCTAATTTTCTCAGGAAAAGAGACAATAAACTCATCCACTTTGAATTATAAGTGACATATAAGCTTTGTTGAATAAGCAGAGTGTGTAGCTTAAATAAAAAGAATGGAGCTCTAAAAAAAAAAAAGAATGGAGCTCTAATTGTAGAATTTCAGATATAAGTGGACAATATTTTATTTGGGTCAGAGGGTCTTCTGAAAATACCTAAATGACTTTATACAGATACCCAGATACTCGAAGTAATGAGGCTAGCTTCAGTTCAAATCTTTTGTAATAAAAGGCAAGTTGTACACACAGAAATGCAAACAGAAGACCAGGCTTCCTTACAAATCTCACAGGATAATAGAATATTACATTTACACTATCAACCTTAATCCAGTTACTTACTATGTCTTTTACGGGTTCCATCTCCTTAATCTGTCTCCAATCAATCTCTTCCTATTGTTAGGACATTCAACTTCGATTCTGAGAACTGATTTAGTATCCTAATTTGTTTCCAGTGCTCCAGGCTTGATCCCCAACCAAACCAATTTTCACACCAGAATGATCTTCCTAAAATTCAATAAATAAATAAATAAATAAAAATTAAAAGTTGCAATGGCTCTCCCTTGCCTTAGGATAGTCCAGTCTCTTTTTCTGATGCATGAGTTCCATTAGGAACCTAACTATCCCACCGCCATATTAATACCTCCCACACACATTTTCTGCTCCAGCCACACTCCATGCTGTCTCTTTCCTCTGGGGTTTGGTGCTCTCTATTTTGTTTTCCTGGTAAATATTCTTATTCTCTTTATCTCCCTACTTTCCGCCAACTTCTCTAACAGCTTATTTCTATTCATTCTTCAGGGTTTGGTATAGACATCTACTCCTACGAAAAGCCTTCCCTGATGCCTATGACTCAGATTCCTCTTCCAACGGTTCCCATAGCAACCTTCTCTGGCATTCTCACACTTACATAGCAAAGGGATTTTCTGTTAGTTACTGGTTTGTCCTCCCCATTAGATTTTGAGTGCTTAAGGGCAGGAATCTTGCTTTATTTTAGTGTCTACAGTGCCTAAGAGGATGTCTAATATATAATAAAACTCAATAGATGATTGGACATATAAATGAAATGATTGGCTATATAAATGAAAGCTGTGTATGGAACTTCTTATGAAAGTTCCAAATAAGAAAGAAGAGAAAATGATACTATTATTCTCCAAACAAACCAGTTGCTTAGGAGAAATATAACTATCTCTGATGCTGAGACCAAAGGGAAGTTTCTCCCTTCGATCTTCATAGAAAATGTACTAACAGTATATAACAGGCTTAAATACTATGTAAAAAGTAGTAAGCAATTACTCCAGTAGTTACTATAAATTGGTGCCACTAATCTTTAATTTACTGAAGTTAGTGAGGCTAGACATGATGATGACTTTAGTCTTTTTCCGGTTTTAAGTAGTGTTTAAATAGCGATGATTATTGCAGTGTAATTCCCTGCAAAAAGTTCACATATTCATTTGTAGGTGATTTTCTAAAACTGAAACATATGCTAAAAACCTTTTTAAACAGAACATTTGTCTAATTTAATACTACTTTAGGTAAATAATTCTTCAGTGTAAAATAGAGAATTATTATATGTGATAGTCTAAAGAAATATGATTATGAAAATGCAGTATAAAAAGCCCAATCACAGCATAATGTTAAATTGCAATTTTTTTCAAGGCCATTAAACAATGAAATTATGTTTTTCTTTCAATTAAGCTACAAATTCTTTAGTTCTAAAAATAAAAATGAAAATGAATGTGGATCTCTTTGTTCATTTTTAAAAACTTTATTGGAAAATAGCAATCATTGGCCAATTGATTATTATTATTATTTCCTTTTGGGTTAAGAGTAGGTTACTTAAGTCACTTTGGGTTCCCATTAGGTTCTAGGGATTAATTACAGTTTTTCAAACCCTGAAATTTCTTGTCCACATTGTGACCCCAGCCTGCCTGCTTTGAAGATCTATTTTCATGTTCTTGAGGCTCTAGAGGGAAACTTTCTGAACTCATGACAGCTCCCTCCTGAGATCGCTGTCTTAGCAATAACAGGCAAAAAACTAAGTACTTCATCTGTATTCTCTCAATAAACTAAAAAGAAGAAACTGAGGAAAAATTAACGTAAGTAGAGTTCACTTGGACCCTGCTTTGGACAGCAATCTGGGAGGATAGAGTCAAGTTGTCCTAAATATATACTCCAATTAACAGCAGTTATCAATTGATTTTCTTTTCTTTTTTTTTTTTCAAAGTTCAGCTTTCTGATACATCGAAAAGATTTCTAATGAAAAAGAAGAGGCAGTTCCAGAACTGTTTACCAATAATTTACGTTAAAATAGCATAATCTATTGATGAGCTATATATTTTTCTTTGTATCACAAATTCCATGGCCAGGCACAGTTGCTCATGCCTATAATCCCAGCATTTTGGGAGGCCAAAGCAGGAGGATCACTTGAGTCCAGAAGTTTGAGAGCAGCCTGGGCAACATAGCAAGACCTCATCTCTACTGAAAATAAAAAAATAAAATAAAATAAATTAGCCTGGTGAGATGGTGCACACCTGTAGTCCCAGCTACTCGGGAGGCTAAGGTGGGAAGATTGCTTAAGCCTGGGAGCTTGAGGCTGCAGTAAGTTATGATCACGTCACTGCACTCCAGCCTGGGCAATAGAGCAAGACTTTGTCTCAAAAAAAAAAAAAAGAAAAAGAAAAAAAAGAAAAAAAAAGAAAAAGGAAAAGAGAAAGAAAAGAAAATAAAAAGAAAAAACAAACTGAAATTCCAGAAATACGAAGATAATGCGTGAGACAGCTAGTCAGGAACAAAATTACTTTAAACAATTGCCCTCAGGCATGGGGGAGGAGGTGACATGACTGAAGTCCCACACTCCCATCTCTCTGGGCCTGATATATTTTACATACTTCACACAGCTCAGATTGCTCTGAACGATTTTTCTTTTTTCAAGTTTTCAGTCCAAATCATCCTCTAAATTGCTGTGTAAATCTGGTCAAGGAATATCATGCCTGTAGTTCTACTAAAGGAGGTATTTGAATAAAAGGTTCCCTAAATTTCATTTCATCTTTACTGTCCTAAGTTTTGGGACAATTATTGTACAGGGAATTTTAATTGTTTCTGTAAATTTTCCAGCCAGACAAGTGCTGAACTGGATGCCTCAGGCAAGGTGTACCTCTTTGAACCCCTAGACTGATGTTATCATTACTTGGACCTCCTTTTTAGGATTTAGCCCTTTGGGTGTCCTAGGATGCTATAAAATAACACACACACTTTTTTCGCCATAAAAATGTTTACTGCCTCATTGTCACCCACCTTACCATGGAAGTAAGGTAATGTCTCAGTCCAGTCTTGCTCAGAGAGAGATACTTTCTGAAGAAATCAGCTCAATAATGACATCATTTTCTATATCTGGTCATCATAGTAGTCTTCACTACAAAGGTCATAAAAGGAGACATCTGCTGAGATTTCAAGTGCCACACAGACTAGATTCCAAGTTTAGAACACCTGTCAATTTAGAATTGAGCATTAAAGATTCCAAGGTATTTTACATTTCATTGGAGCTAGTGAGAACAAAAATCAAAGGAAGAAAAAAAAGTGAAAGTCAGTATGCAAACCAGTTGCCGTTTAAAACTCTTTGGCTTTGAGGACATGAGACAGAGTAAATGCGGGAAGGAGAAATATGAACTATCTAACCTCGGGGGTCCTGCAAACCCTGGTTCCAGCTGTATCTGAAATCAGTAAAGCAAAACCAGAACTGAAGAACTTACATGGAAATTTAAATGGTAGTTGGTGATGACATCATTTGTGGTCGGACTGGATGTGGAAGTGTGAAAGAAAGAGAAAAGTCAAGAATTACTCTGTTTCTGACCTGAGCAACTAGGACAGAGTTACCATCAATTATAATGAGGAAGACTATTGACACAGTGTGCATTTGTGCTAAGCTTGTTTTGTGAGATAAATTGTTCGCGTTTCATCTCCACTGATGGCCCAGAATAGTTGCAGAATCATCAGATTTATCTTCTTAATTGTTCCCTCCAACTTGGCTTTTTCAAACCGTTGTCATTGTTGCCATTTATAAAGGACAAAGCACTCTTGGAGACGGAGAACCAGCCAAACCACCTGAAGTAAGGGATTGTCATCACAAGAAAAATATTCAAGTGCTAGTGTTTGATGAGAAATTTCAGAATAATGACAAGGCTGCTCCTATGAAAATCCAACATATCTTCTCCCTTAATATATACCTCAATTCGATTAATTCTCCAAAAGAACCATGACATTTTGCAGACATTTATACATAAAGTAAGACAACAGTTTGGTTCTGTGGAATCAGGCTGTAACCTCTTCCAGAGACAGTGTTGGTGCCCTCAGAATACACTATTTGAATAGATTACAGTGCCCACCGAAGTTGTGCAATGCACTGGCCTTGACCTCATCATTCTAATTCCACTGAGAAGAGTTACAGAGAGGGTGAATTATAAATTTGTGCAGGTGCTGATTGTAATAAAGAGCCACAGTGTGTATACTTTACTTAAAACCGAGTGAATAATGGAGTGAATAAATAAAAGTTTCCAAAATAACATTTCCAGAAACGTCTAGCATGTTTCCATTCATTTCTTTTCTTTCTGGGGGGACCAACACTGTGTAACATGGACACCTCTAATTTCAAGGAAGGCTGGGATTTTGTTTGTTGTTTATTTGTTTTGTAGCCTGGGAACACTGATGCTCCAGATGGATAAGTCTCTTAGTAACACAGAAGAGAAGGAATAATTTGGTAGGCAGCCAGCACTAGTAGTGTCTGCCATATATACCCCTTCCTTTGTTTATATAAATTAACTTGGTTAACCATTTGTTTTCTTTGCAAAAAGCTCTTGGATACCTGCAAAAAATTCCAGCTAGCATTTGAGAAATTGGCCAGTGATGACATTTTATATAAAATGCACTTTGTTGCAATAAGAAGTAACAAAGAGAAAGACAGACCACTGAGTTTGTTTCTTTGTTTTCTTTTTAATATAGAATGGGTTATGATAACATTATTTTGAAAACTAATGTCTTATCCTAATCTTTGATTTTACTAGTTTAGTTATTAATTTATGGAAAATAAACTCAAAGACATACTCAGAAAACACATTTATTCTTTATTAATGCAAAAAAGTTAGTGACCAGAATTGTTATTATCTAAGTACCCTTAGACACAGTAGTGCAAACAAAATACTTAGAACAGTATTTTGATATTTGTTAAGCAGTCAATCATGCCACTTGAACTTTTTCATTCTTACCATATCCTGGAATACTTGAAAAGCCAAATTCAAAATATGAATGTTCTGGGCAACATAGCAAGACCTTATCTCTACCAAAAAAATTAAAAATTAGCAAGGCCTGGTGGTGCGGGCCTGTAGTCCTAGCTACTCAGGAGGCTGAAGGTGGGTGGACCACTTGAGACCAGAAGGTTGAGATTGCAGTAAGTCATGACTACACCACTACACTCCAGCCTACACAACAGAGCAACAGCCTGTCTCTAAATAAATAAGCAAATAAATAGAAATACAACAGTTTTTGGAAAATATGAAACAGAGCAAAATAAATTAGTTAGACATGAATAAAATAGGCCATGTAGAACCCAGAGAACTGTCATTATTCCAGAGTACACCACTTTGTTGAGCAAAATGCTTATTTTCCACATAGTCTCTGCCCCTTTTTCTGTTTCTGTGCTTCCCACCTGCCTCTCCCTCTCTGTCTGTCTCTTCTCTCTTTCCATGTGAGGATAAGATTTGATAAATGATGCTTCCTGGTCTCTGGTGTATCATTTCTGAAATCACATTGATAAGGACAGAAGGCAGGAAAATACTGGGTAGAAGAGGACAGTACCCTGCAAAGGCCCCACCCTCAACCCTGGAAACACACAGCCCTGAATGGAAACAGGCATTCCTAGTTTTCCTGTCCAAATGTTGCCTTTTCCAAGGCCACTCTGGCCTCTCATGCCCCTATCCTCTGCTCATATAGATCCCAAGCTCCACAAGCAGAGAAACAGAGGAGTAGAAGAGTGGCAGAGTGGCAGAGCAGTGCAGCAGAGAAGGAGAGATGAGAAGGAGCACCTGAATGTTGAGAGAAGTTTGACTAGGGACGGTTGGAGGGGAATTGACCATAGACAGCCAAACCCCAGTGGAAGGTCATCTTCCCACTCCATCCCCTTTCCAGCTCCCCATCCATCTCACTGAAAGCCACCTCCACCACTCAATAAAAGCCCCTCACTCACCATCCTTCAAGTCCGAGTGACCTGATTCTTCTTGGACACTGGACAAGGACCTGGGTACCAAGTAGTCAGGGTGTAAAAGGCTGCTACCCCAACTCTCCACTGAGCTGGTTTAACACTTAGCCATCCGTGGATGGCAACTGCTAAAAGGGCATTAATTGTAACACACCCCTAGATGCTACCATGGGGCTGGAGCCCAAAAGCACTTGCCTCAGCTCCTGTACTTGCCCATCTGCATGCTCCCCCTCCCATAAGGGGCTTGAGTGAGTGGTGGTGAACAAATGAGTCACACCCCTGTCACAAGTCCCACGAGGGGGTCGGGGACCTCTCCCATTTCAACATGCTAATCAACAACTTATATCTACCTACAACATTTCTTTAAGACAGTCATTTTAAGGTTTTTATATTTGTTTCTTTTTAGGTGGTTGCTTTCCATTTTAGGGGCACTTCTTTTTCTCCTTGCCAGACTGATGAAAATATCCCCACCTGTTGGAATACTTTTTTATCTTACTCCTTTGAAAGCCATCAATTTTTCTTGCATTATATTAGCTTACATTCAGAAAATGACATTACTATCTTTTCTTTTGATTCTAGGAGTTTTCTTGATTACAGTCCTGCCACACTATATTCCCTGCCTAAAATACTCTATTCTTTGGAAACCATCTAATGTAAATCTCAGAAAAGGCCCACTAATGAGCTAAAGATTGACACAGTAATTGTTGTTTCAATGGGAAAAACATTCAGAGGGTGAGGAGTGTGCATTTCTCTTATTTCGTTTCAATAGTAGCAATCAAACTTCTAATTAAAATTAGGCCCGCAATTATTTCTAAATGATTTTGATGACTTCACTAATCTGCAGTGATGAGTTACCTCTCTAATATTTAACATCCTAACAAGGCAAGCCACGTATTATCAAGCACAAGTCAAATTTCAGTCAGACCTCTATTTCTGGACACTAAGAATCCATTGCTTCTCTTGTATGGTGAGGGGCATATTTTCAGACACAGTTCCTGTCCTAAATAGACTGAACATTTGTCTCACATTGTAAACTTCCAGAGGGCAGACAACAGTGGCAGTTGTAATGCATTTTAGCTCCCTCAAAGGAGCACTAAGGGGAGGCGAAGAAGCTGCTCATCAACTCTCCTGGCCACTCAGCTGGAACTCCTTGGTTTTGAGGTTGAAGTAGCTGCTCTCAGAGGCTAGTGGGACCTCTTTTATTCCTAAGGGGAGAGTTGCCCTTTTGTAAGAATCATGTCTTTAAAGAACAATTTTATTGTAACATGCTCAGAGGTTGCCTTTATCATAGTCCTGTCCTTGGGGAATCTCATCTGTGATCTTATGATGCTCCTAATCTTTACCTCCAATCCTATCTTCTCTTTTGTGATCTGGACTCAACTGAAACCATCCTTATAAATTTTACAAAATTTATCATAGAAGAAGGTAGGGGGAGAAACCAAAATAAACCAAGCTTCCAGCACATTCAGCATTAATCATTAGGTCAGCTTGCTCTCTGATCTGCTTCCTCATGGTTGTTCACAGCCTACTGCCTCAGAATCACATAAGCCCTGTCACAAATTATAGCTCCCCTTAACTGCTTTATAGTCAACAACCTAAACATTATGAAATATTAAATTTACCCATCTGAGGTATTCTTTCAAGTCCTGCATACCAGTGAAATTACTGACATCAGCTGGCCTGAAGGACCCCAGGAGAAGCTGACTTACCCAAACAGTGCAGTTTCCACATCCTGATGATTTCATCCTTCTTGCCCCAACCAATGAATGGCCTCAATTTTTCATTCCCTTGCCCTCCATAAATCCCCTTAAAACCCCGGCTGCCGGGCGCGGTGGCTCAAGCCTGTAATCCCAGCATTTTGGGAGGCCGAGGCGGGCGGATCACGAGGTCAGGAGATCGAGACCATCCTGGCTAACACGATGAAACCCCGTCTCTACTAAAAATACAAGAAATTAGCCGGGCGCAGTGGCTGGCGCCTGTAGTCCCAGCTACTCGGGAGGCTGAGGCAGGAGAATGGCGTGAACCCGGGAGGCGGAGATTGCAGTGAGCTGAGATTGCGCCACTGCACTCCAGCCTGGGCCACAGAGTGAGACTCCGTCTCAAATAAAATAAAATAATAAAATAAAATAAAATAAAATAAAATAATAAAATAAAATAAAATAAAATAATAAAATAAAATAAAATAAAATAAAAATAGCCTCAGCCCAAAACTCCTTGGAGAGATGAGTTTGAGGGTCTCCTTCCATCTCCTCAGCTACCCTGAGATCATTAGTCATTTTCTCTGATGTAAACCCAGCTGCCTCAGTGTTTAGGTCTGTTATTATGCAGTGGGCATATGAACTTGTTGGTCCTCTAACACAACCATCCAACTTATTTCTAAACCTCACTTGAATAACAAAGAATCAGGGATTGTCAACTCATTTTCTTTACTTTAAAATATGTTCATTTTTGAGAAATCCCAGTTATCCATATCAGAAAGTTGAGGCTCCTTTCTCAATTTCTTTATTTTTTTTAACCTCTCATAATTAATCAATGACCATCTCTCAATTCTTCCATCCTTTTAACATTTATCTATCCTCTCCATTACTTCATTCCTGAAATTAAAAAAAAAAAAACTTAGACCATTATCATTCAAAGTACCTCTTGATAGCTGTCTCCCAAGCACTCCTTTCCTGTTCCCAATAGTAATCTAAATGTTGTTCCCATATACACCTTTCCCGTATATGACCTGGATAATTCAGAAAAACCTAATCCAACCCCCAACTTCAGGGATAGGTCTGATTGATTGAATGGCAATTCTACCATCCTTATCCCAAAGAGGGGCTCCTAAACCTAGCTTTTCATATTCCCATGAACAAAAGATTAGATGAAGAGCACATAATCCATTTCGCCAATGAGATTCAAGGGGACAACTGCTGGAAATTTTCTGAAGACTTAAAGCCTGAATTAATTCACCACAGGAGGAAAACCAGCCAGAAGATAATGTATAGCCCAGGAACGAAAGAGAAATGGATCTGAGACAGGTGTTTTAATCCATCTTCAAAGCCCACCCTACTTCACTACTTTCATTGCATAAGCCAATAAGCTTACTTATTTATTAACAGAATTTGACTTGGAATGTCTCTCATTTGCAACAAAGAAATCTTAACTATTGGTTTTCTCTCACCATGGTTATCACAACAGTCTCCCAAGTTATTTCTCTATCTATGGTATAACCCCCTAATGTTGATCACTCATTCTCTTGACAGTGATCTTTTGAAAAACCTTTCAAATCTATCCATGTGTTCCCTGCTTAATCTCCTACCATGATACCCTATCATCTTTAGAATAAATTAAACCTCGTCAACCTGACACACAAGATATCAATTATTGAATTTTTTTCTGTCTCCCCAGCCTCATATCTCCCTTCTTCTGAATGTAAATTCTATGCTACAACCCTGGTCAAATGATTATGGCTCCCAGAACACAAGGTTATCATTCACCTCTTTGCCTTTGACATTCAGGTTTCTCATTGTAGAATTCAATTTAACTCCATTCTCTTCAGCAACCATCTATTTTGAACCTACATTGTATCCAAATGTGTGCAATGCACTGGCAAAGTTGTTTTCTCCTTGCTTACCTGATGCCACCCTGCTGTAAAGCCTGTCCCCTTCTTAGAGAACTGTCCTTTGTCGTTTGTTTCATGCTTTCTTTCTTGTTAACACATATCCACTGTTTCATTGGTTTGTTATAATTGGCGTCTGTTTAGTGTCTGTCTTAAAGGCAAGATATATTTATTATTTATCTCCGTATTTCCAAAGTCCCAAGGTTGAGGTTGGTATATTGATTTATTCACACAATTAAGCAAATGGAAAACCAGACCATTAAAATTGGGAGTCACATTAGGTATGAGCTAATACTAACGGTGAATGAGTGAGGTGACCTACTGCCTGCTGAAAAATGGCCCCTGATACTTGGCTTCCATGTAAGAGGGGCCATAGCAAGTGAAGTGACTGATGGTGATTGGACAGCATGTGCAGATGCCAGAGGCATGCACATCTCAGCTCAGATCATTGCTGGGAGGTAAATAGGCTCCATGTTGCCAGCACATCTGATGTTAGTTCAAAAAAAGAAAAGAAAAACCCACCACACAGGGCCAATATGTTTGGCATCCCCTCTATGGACTAAATATGTCCAGGGCCCGATAGCATCCTCCAATTTATTCCAGTCTCATTTTGCAAGTGAGGAAACCAAAACCAGAACCAAAACACAGTTTCCCCTAAGAGATCACTTGATTGAAAGTACATGCCTCTCCTTCACACTCTTATGGACCCTGCACATTTAATGATTTAGAGCAATTTGTTTATCTGTATCCCTCCTCCATCACAGTGCACATTCTATGAGTGTAGAGAGTGCCCTTATCTTTCTCATTCCACAGGACCAGGAACGCAGTGCTCTGGAAATACTCCTTGAATGCATATTAAATGGAAATCATGCTCCTGGAAGACAGTATTTGACTCTTGGCATCATCACCACCTTTAACATGTAGATTTGTAGATCCACTCAATAAGACATTTAATAAAACTTTCTGTGCTGAACTCTTGAAAGTTGGGAGTGGAATGGATGGCAGATCTTAAAGTACTGGGAGAGTTATGTAGATTAATCTCTTCTACAAGGCATAAAAGTGACATAGAAGAATAACAGCTTGTTTTAGGCAAAGAGGAAGAAGCATCAGTTATAGAGGTGGATACGGAGAGCTTCCTTAACTGAGTGAGTGACCAAGTGTGTGTAGGGTTCTGACAAATAGAGAATGAACTGTTGGGCTGAGGAGTTGGTGTGCCACCACAGCGAATGCTGGGCATACTTTCACAGTGTCTTGCTGCATTCATTTTTGCCTCCATGAGCATCTCTGTACTAAGTAAATGTGTAGGGGAGTTTTCCTAGCTGTAAAAGGCAGAATAATGGCCTGCTACATATCCATAGCCTAATCCTCAGAACCTGTGACTATGTTAGGTTACATGGCAAAGAGTAATTAAGGTAACACATGGAATTATTGTGGCTAATCAGCTGACCTTATAATAGAGAGATTATTCTGGATTATCCAGATAAAACCAATGTAATAATAGAGTCCTTACAAGTGCAAGACAGAGACAAAAGAGCCAGAGTCAGGTGTAAACTAAAAATAAAATTCTAAGCCCCAACCAACTGTACAAACCCCCTCTTGGCTAAGAAGACACCAGAAAAAGCTTGAAAACTGACAGGATGGGAGGTCAAACACACCTGGTTATACTCCCTCCCTTTTGGAGTTTAGAGAAAACAATGTTAAACTGGAGATCATAAGACTGACAGGTCAGACTTTGTGGCAGTCAGATACCAAATTACAAACAGGACCTAAGGCCATGCCAGGCAAGAGTTAAGTCATCCAGCCCTACACTTAAAGAATAAATTATGTTCTAATTGTCACAAATTTTTCCTTTTTCTCCAGCAAGAGGCTAAACAAATACTGGCCTTGAAATAAGCAATGTTGAAACTTTCCACTTTACTAATCGTTAGACACTGACTAACTGAGGGCCCCCTGTCCCACCAGCCCTAACTAAAGCTTTGATTGGACAAGAGACTGATTTCAGCAACTTTCTCCCTATTAGAAGACCACTGACCATGGATAGGTTTTGGTCAGTTTACAGAGGCAGCACACTTGAGTGCCTTTGTGTTCTGAGAAGACTTTTAGACATACAGGATCTAATTGTCATGTATCTAAGTGTTAAGTCTCCACCTCAAAGTGAACGTAGATTGTATGTTACATGCATGTTTATTCAGCGCGCATGTGTCAGGACCACCTTCCTGAATATTCAGATCTTCTCCCACATCCTGTTAAATATGTATGTGTAGCCAATCTGTTCATCATAAAGCTCCTAGCCTAACCTCTCCTCCTTTGAAGTGCCATCTCTTATCTTTGCCAGAGACTATGCTTCCCACTCTGTGAAATGGCCATGTGCAGGCTGCAACCCTTTACAAGAAATAAAATCTCCTTTTCTAAATGTGTGGATCTTGTGGGTTTTAAATTAACAGAGATTATGATATGTGACCATGAATGCAGATGTTAGAGTGATGAAGTTGTGAGCTTTGAAGATTGAGGAAGGGAACCATGAGCCAGGCTATGTAGGCAGCCTCTAGCAGATGGGAAAGGCAAGGAAACAGGGTCTCTAGAGTCTCCAGAAAGAAACACTCACTTATTTTTGGCCCAGTAAGAGTCATTTTGGACTTCTGATATCCAGAATTGTAAGAAAAGTAATTAGCATTGTTTTAAGCCGCTGTTTGTGGAAATTTGTTGGAACAGCCATAGGAAACTCATATATTAGCTGTTTGACCTTGACAAATCACCACGCCTGTTGGAGCCTTGCCTGTGTGACACAGTATATAAAATCAACCCTAAAAACTAGCTTTACTCTTATGATTAATATTACATAGACAATACTACTGAACTAACAATAGTTTTAATGGAGTGTAGGCCTCTGCCTTTATCACAATTGTATTCAACCTACACGCTTGATTTTTCTGTTTACATGGTGCTATCAACCCTGAACAGCTCTGGGCACAGAAATCTGGCTGACTCATTGCAAGCTTCACTGAATTCCCACTGCATATTGCCATGTTCACTGACTGCGGTTTCTGCTGGAAATATCTGTTGCCTAGTTAAGGGAGTGTTCCCTGCTTTGAGAGCCTAGGCAACTGCATATGTGAAAGTTTCTGGTTTCCTGGGATTACAAATTAAATGTCAGGGAAGATAAAAATGCTGTGAAAGGATTCCAAGAAGCAGTGCAGTGAATTAGATAAGAAGAAGAATCCCTGTTTGGCTTGGGAAGTGCTTTCATTGAAGCCATTAATAGATAAGTCTTAGATGATGGCATTCCCCTCATCCACAGCTCCTCACCTATTATAATAAAATTGGATGTTGTGCTGGTTGAAAATCATGCACCCTTTCTCTCCCGAGTAAGATCAGGAATCAGAATAGGCTGTGTTTTTACCATTAGCAAGTTATATTTACATTCTCTTTGATTCTATTTCTTCATCTGTAATACGATACTAAAAGAGTAATAAAAGACACTGCAAAATTTAAACATGATAAGGCTAACATTTTTGACTGCTTACTATGTGCAAGGAATTGTTCCAAGTACTTTTAATGTAATATTTATTCTTCACAACACTATGAAACATTCCAGTTTTACAGATGAGAAAATTGAGGGATAGGGAGATACATTTCTCTAGGACTCAGAGGTACTAAGTGCTGAAAATTTTACTAATGTGCTTAAATGCCTCTCTAAGATTTGGTACTTGGCATGGTAAGGGTTCAATACTGTGAACTGATGTTATTATATGTCTGCCTTGCAGTGTTGTGTAGTTGTTAGGGTTAAGGAGAAAGTCCTTCGAAAATAAAACAACAGCATGTAAGTAGCATTTCCATACGGGAAATGCTATCACTCCTTCCTCTTTGTGCACTCTTAGCTTGCCTGGCGTTTGCAACCACATCCTAATTCTTCCACCAGTGTGTTGCCTGACCTCACGATGCTGTGAGAATGATATTCTAAAATGTAAACCAGAAGGTGGCATTCCATGACTGAAAGCAAATATGCAATATATTCAACTCCTATAATGTACTGTAAAGGCCTTTCAACATGCTGTGGTTAACACCCACCTCTCCAATCCCTCTGGGGCTCCATGTTCACTACCATACTTTATTCAAGCTCTGTTAAAATACTTACTTCATTAACTATGGCACACGAACCGTGTCACATTACTTTTTGGCTGGACACATTTGCACATGTTATTTCTTGGATGTAGAATATCCTTACACCACCATTTTCATGCCAGGTCAAGCCATGCTCACCTTCAAAACTATGTGCCTGGTGTGGTGCAATATTTTTAGTGAACATTAGATAATATGCAAAATGACTGGTCTACAAATAACATTTTTGCAAAAGGAAATAGCTTATTTTTTTCAGTGTTTTTATTTCCTGGGTCGAATTCCCTCACTCCATTCCTTGTTTCTTGTTTTATTCACACAAGCCCCCTGGTTGTTTTCTACTTGACTTTTATCCTTCTGTTTGGTACACAGTTCAGGTTCTCCTAACTCCAGGATTCAGCTTCCTTCCCAACTACATCATTGTTCCACTTATTCACAGACAACCCTCTTTGGGCTCCCACCACTTTTAGGACCTCCCCTTACTGGAGGTTAAGGCCTGGCATTTTAGATCAAAGGTCAACTTCTTTTGAGAAGTCTTTTCTGATCTCTCCAGGAAAAGCTGTGCTCTCCTCCTATGGAGTTGGTTCGTTGTTTTACCACAGCATCCATCTTGTTGGGTGACTAATATGTACTGATTCTGTATCCAGAGTAGAGTGGGCCTCTAGAAAGCAGCAATAATGTTCTAACTATTCCTGTTGTAGGCCTTATCACTTAGGTTTGGATGAACAATTTAACCTTCTTTTAATTTCACTTTCCTAAACTATGAATGGGTATAATACTTTTCTGTAGAGCTAAAAGAATTAGGCACCATGTAAAAACATAGAATAGTGTCTGCACATAGTAAGAACTAATATTTGTTAGCCAATACTATTATCTAAATTCAAAGAGACACTGGACAATTTCCTCAAGACTGAAGGTGAAGAGGAGGAAGAGGGTTGGTTTTGCCTTCTCAACTTATTCAGAAGCCACAACTGATCAATCATTAACTATGGCATCAGCCTTAACCATCAGAGTGAAGGGTAAAGAACCAGGGTTATGAATTTGTTTCATTGCCATTGCATCAGTACGTAGTGCATCTGGAGTAGATCCTAGGCACCTATGATACCAGTGATGTCCAGCCTTCCATAGCCCATCTTTGTGGTGTTGGCTGTTCACTTTGCTGTTTGATTGTCTCCATAGGCCTTCTACCAGGGCTGCCTATGTCCTTATCAAAGGGTATACCACTTTTGACCCCTGACCTGGGCTTTGCCAAATCTCTTCTCTGAAGGCCAGATCTGGTCTTTTCTACATCATGGCTGAATGCTCCCAAAAGCCTGTTTATTCTACTGCTTGAGCACTATCAATTGGACTACTGTCTGGGGAGGACACAGCCCTATAGCCCAATTTGTGTTCTCAGCCCTGGCTTGTCCTCCTTACTCCCCTAGTGACACTTCTAAGTTTCCAGAATTTCTTGCTACTCAGAGTTCATATGAGTTATGTGAGAGGATGACTCATATTTTTGTAAGAGTCGAAAGACTGAGGACAAGTAACTAGATTCTGATATTCCATCCCTTCCTTCCCAAGCCAATTTATAAATTCTGATGATGCATTTATTGGCAAAGGCTCTCCCTTCACTTCCTATTTCTATGTGCTTCAAGACCATCACTACATCTCACAAAAAAGGGAGTTGTCTCACAAAAAAGGGAGTTTTTTGATCAAGCTCCTCACATTGTTTGGTTCGTTCAACTGCCTTTAAAAAACATGGAGAAGAAAATGTGTTTTCTCTTAAACCTGGATATCAGTACAGGCTATCAGTTTGAAAATAACTTGTAGCAAGTACTGCTTATTAATATTATCCATAAAGTCCATCTGGTACCCAAATTCCTATCATAAAATGAGATTTTGTGGTAGGAACATTTCAAAAAGAGCCTTTGTGTAATGCAAAGGGATGTAACTATTAAATCAAACCCAAGAGTGTTCACCCAGGCCCATCTTTCATATTCTTTCTAAAGATACCTTTGAATGCAGTGGGATGAATTCATCTTTTGGCACAACTTTTAATACCTAGATTGCCTCTTTGCACTGTGCCAAATAGAAAACCTTCAGTCAGGGACAAAATCTCATCTGTAGAAATTATAATTTTGTGAGTTTGTTGAAAACTCAAAGGAAAATTTTCTCTAAGCACTGGTTTCCCAAAAGATCTTAAAAGGTACCTTCTTGGAATTTTTCCTGGTGAATTAAATTGTGAACTGGACTATGTGACTTACTGCTTGAACAGTTTAGCTTGTGCTGTTCTTGATAAGAACTGAAGGAAAATATGAATCATAAAAAATGACTTCAGAATTAAGTAACCAAATATAAAGATTGGGATGGGTAATAATGGAGTTCCATAATGGACTTATAAAAGTACATGACAGAGCTCTTCTCTGTATATGTCTATTCACTTTTATTCTGGGCTTTAGAAATTATCAGATGCTATTTTCCACGTGAAACTCACTTTTTTGGACTTTGAATTCATGTTATTATTTTTGACTTTTAAACTAATTAATCTTCTTTGGTTTTATGAAATCAGGATTATCTTCAGCCATTCCCTTTCTCATTCTTCATAGTTTGTCAGTCAACAAGTCCTGCCAGTTTTGTCATTGAAATGTTTCTCTAGTTCTCACTCACTTCCACCACAGCATAACACACAGACTCTCAAAACACATACCCTCCAGTTACATTACCAGTATTCTATTTCAGGGTCAGCAAACAACTGCCTGTGGGGGAGTATGCCAACTGCTTTTGCTAAGAAAGTTTTATTGGAACACATCCATGTTCATATGTTTATGCATTGTCTGTGGCTTTTTTGGCATTACAATGACTGAGTTGAGTAGTTGCAAAGTCTAAAATATTTGTTATCAATCAGGCTTTCCACAAAAAAATGTTTGATGACTCCTGTTCTAGTTAATGCTTGCATCACTTGGGTAATTGTAGACAGTCTTCCCATTGGTTTCCTTGCTGCTATTCACTCTAAAACTAATCAATTAATCATACTGATGTCAAAATCTCTTTCTCTCTCAAATTCTAGCAAATTCCATCTAATTCTTCAAGGTCCAGATTACCTGCAACCATAAATTTAGGAACTAAAGATAACACAGGTGAGCAAAATAAGCCAGATTCTTTTTCTCACAGCTTTTGTTCTCTATTTTAGAGCAGATAGGCCATCAATAAGCAATGATATAACTGTGTAATCTGTACCTTGACAGGTATGATAATCTAGACAAACTGTCTAGATTTAAATACTAGCTCCATTCTATGCCAACTGTGTAACTATGAGACATTTACTAACTTTTAACCTCAGTTTTCTTATCTCTACTATGGTTTTAGTCATTAAATGAGATCACTCATGTCAAACACGTGATATTATGTCTGGCGCATACAAAATAGATTTAAGCAATAATTATAGAGAAATTATAACTTTGGAAATAGTGAGCAGAAATATTTAGGTTTGCCTTCAGTGTTGTGGAATAACTGGTATGACTGATGTTTACACTGAAATCCAAGGGTAGGCTATCAATAAGAAAAGGAACAGTGTTCTGGGAACTGGGATAGGTACATGCAAAAATTTGGAGGAAGAAAATTTTCTAATTCCCTGAATGCTAAATAATTGCTGTCATCTCTGTGCTCCCTATAGTACTATATTTATACTGCTAATATACCTGTTAACACATCATGTTACAGTTGTGCTTTTGAGGATATGGCTTGGTCTTACATTTTCATCTTTATATTCCCAGCACTTATAAGAGGCGTAACACATAACACAAATGCTCAAAAAAATTTGTTTCGTAAAAGCCCGCAAAAGTCAAACAGCATGATCTTTTGAATCAAAAAAAGCCTAGGCTTAATATCAGGTCTGCCATTAAAAGGTGGATGACTTTGAACACATTAAATGACTTCTCTGACCCGTGAGTGACTCAGCTCTCAAATGTGGAAAGGAACACCTGCTACACAGATTTGTAAGACTTAATTACAGAGCACAGGAAAAACTTTTGTTGTGTCTGCACATAGTAGGTATTATTGATAATGAAGCTTTTATAAATTTGGACTCAGGGTAATAGCACAAACTCTTTTAGAGGTAAACTGAGCAACTGAGAGATACCAGCTGACTTCACAAACATGCAGTTCAGGTAAACGGACTAAATATCCAGGTTTTATGCCTACTTCTTTTCATTTTATCCAACAAATATTTATGGAGTGTCTATTCTGTGGTGGGTACCTGACGAGGTGCCAAGAAATTTGTGTTGAGCAAGACATGTCCAACCCCTGCCTTCTTGGAGCATACAGTTTAACACAACATGATTGTCTAGCATATCATGCATTTTGTCTGAGATAATTTTTTAAGCAATGTGTAAGTAGCCTGTGTAGTCCCTTACTTAGAGTAAGCGAACTCTGAGTGTCTTTAATTGAGAAGGTACTGAGTAGAGCCAGAAGTGGCATATTTAATTAAACTGGGCCAACAAGAATGAGTATTTGTTTTGTTTTTGTTTTTTTTTCTGCTTATATTCCCAGGAAGTAGCCAATACAAGTACACTGATTACTCACTCTGGCATCAATCCCACCATGTAAGGCCTTGACCTTATTAAAATCACCTTCCCTTCTACTATGCAGGTTTCTCTGTACCTCCTTCTCACTATTCTCTACATGTGATAATCTGATAATAAACTAATTAATAAATATCATTTGAATAATATATGTCATAAAAAAGTAAAGATCAAATAAAAATAGGTAAGAATGATAATGGCCACTCTTAACTTTCTTTTTACCACAATCTAGGCATTTTATATTACTCCTAGTCCTCAAAAACTATCACAATTTAGAAATTATTTAATTCATTTTGCACATAGAAAACTAAGTCTCAGAGAGGTTATCTGGCTAAACTCATTTACTGGGTGAGAGACTACACTTGAATTGTAGTATAGATTCACCTGAGCCTGAAACCCACGCACTCTCCATGGTGCAACATCTCCTGTGAGAGGCAGAATAATGGTCCCCAAAATGTTCACATCCCAATTTCCAGAACCTGTGAATATGTTACCTTACATGGCAAAGGGGAATTAAGTTTTCATGTGGAATTATATTGGATGATCTGGGTAGCCTAATGTAATCACAGAAGCCTTTAAAAATGGGTGAGGGAAGTAGAAGATTAGGTAAGAGTACACTTCCACCAATGGTAACTAAGAGTATTATTTTGCTGTAGTCTTTTTAATGTGATGGGTAGAATCAACCTTGCTTATCACTGTTAATCTGTCAGGAATAGAATGGATACTAGTTACTTTAACATGTATTTATTTAATTAGACATTAATTCTTTCAACAAGTGCTTGTCAACAAATATATTTTTCAATAAAAGCAATTTTTATGAGATAAGATGTGATGTGGGGACTCAGCCCACTTTTGTTAGCTTTGAAGTTGGAGAAAAAGGCCACAGACTAAGAAATGCAGGCAACCTCCAGAAGCTGGAAAAAGAAAATAGATTCTTCCCTAGAGTTTCCTGAAAGGAACACAGCCCTACTGACATGGCAATTTTAGCCCAGTGTGAAGGTTAATTTTATTTGTGTCTCTAGACAATATAGACTAACACACTGTGAGACCCATGTCAGGCTTCTGGTCTACAGGTATTGTAAGATAATAAATTTATATGGTTTAAGTAGCTAAGTTTAAGGTACTCTGTTATGGCAGCAATAGAAAACTAGTACACCGGAGGAGGAGCCAAGATGGCCGAATAGGAACAGCTCCGGTCAACAGCTCCCAGCGTGAGCGACGCAGAAGACGGGTGATTTCTGCATTTCCATCTGAGGTACGGGGTTTATCTCACTAGCGAGTGCCAGACAGTGGGCTCAGGCCAGTGGGTGCGCGCACCCTGCGCGAGCCGAAGCAGGGCGAGGCATTGCCTCACTTGGGAAGCACAAGGGGTCAGGGAGTTCCCTTTCCGAGTCAAAGAAAGGGGTGCCAGACGGCACCTGGAAAATCGGGTCACTCCCACCCGAATATTGCGCTTTTCAGACCGGCTTAAAAAACGGCGCACCACGAGATTATATCCCACACCTGGCTCGGAGGGTCCTAGGCCCACGGAATCTCGCTGACTACTAGCACAGCAGTCTGACATCAAACTGCAAGGCGGCAGCCAGGCTGGGGGAGGGGCGCCTGCCATTGCCCAGGCTTGCTTAGGTAAACAAAGCAGCCAGGAAGCTCGAACTGGGTGGAGCCCACCACAGCTCAAGGAGGCCTGCCTGCCTCTGTAGGCTCCACCTCTGGGGGCAGGGCACAGACAAATAAAAAGACAGCAGTAACCTCTGCAGACTTAAGTGTCCCTGTCTGACAGCTTTGAAGAGAGCAGTGGTTCTCCCAGCACGCAGCTGGAGATCTGAGAACGGGCAGACTGCCCCCTCAAGTGGGTCCCTGACCCCTGACCCCCGAGCAGCCTAACTGGGAGGCACCCCCCAGCAGGGGCACACTGACACCTCACAAGGCAGGGTATTCCAACAGACCTGCAGCTGAGGGTCCTGTCTGTTAGAAGGAAAACTAACGAACAGAAAGGATATCCACACCAAAAACCCATCTGTACATCACCATCATCAAAGACCAAAAGTAGATAAAACCACAAAGATGGGGAAAAAACAGAACAGAAAAACTGGAAACTCAAAAACGCAGAGCGCCTCTCCTCCTCCAAAGGAACGCAGTTCCTCACCAGCAACGGAACAAAGCTGGATGGAGAATGACTTTGACGAGCTGAGAGAAGAAGGCTTCAGACGATCAAATTACTCTGAGCTACGGGAGGACATTCAAACCAAAGGCAAAGAAGTTGAAAACTTTGAAAAAAATTTAGAAGAATGTATAACTAGAATAACCAATACAGAGAAGTGCTTAAAGGAGCTGATGGAGCTGAAAACCAAGGCTCCAGAACTACGTGAAGAATGCAGAAGCCTCAGGAGCCGATGCGATCAACTGGAAGAAAGGTTATCAGCAATGGAAGATGAAATGAATGAAATGAAGCGAGAAGGGAAGTTTAGAGAAAAAAGAATAAAAAGAAATGAGCAAAGCCTCCAAGAAATATGGGACTATATGAAAAGACCAAATCTACGTCTGATTGGTGTACCTGAAAGTGATGTGGAGAATGGAACCAAGTTGGAAAACATTCTGCAGGATATTATCCAGGAGAACTTCCCCAGTCTAGCAAGGCAGGCCAACGTTCAGATTCAGGAAATACAGAGAACGCCACAAAGATACTCCTCGAGAAGAGCAACTCCAAGACACATAATTGTCAGATTCACCAAAGTTGAAATGAAGGAAAACATGTTAAGGGCAGCCAGAGAGAAAGGTCGGGTTACCCTCAGAGGGAAGCCCATCAGACTAACAGCAGATCTCTCGGCAGAAACCCTACAAGCCAGAAGAGAGTGGGGGCCAATATTCAACATTCTTAAAGAAAAGAATTTTCAACCCAGAATTTCATATCCAGCCAAACTAATCTTCATAAGTGAAGGAGAAATAAAATACTTCACAGACAAGCAAATGCTGAGAGATTTTGTCACCACCAGGCCTGCCCTAAAAGAGCTCCTGAAGGAAGCGCTAAACATGGAAAGGAACAACTAATACCAGCCACTGCAAAATTATGCCAAAATGTAAAGACCATCGAGACTAGGAAGAAACTGCATCAACTAACGAGCAAAATCCGCAGCTAACATCATAATGACAGGATCAAATTCACACATAACAATATTAACTTTAAATCTAAATGGACTAAATTCTCCAATTAAAAGACACAGACTGGCAAATTGGATAAAGAGTCAAGACCCATCAGTGTGCTGTATTCAGGAAACCCATCTCACATGCAGAGACACACATAGGTTCAAAACAAAAGGATGGAGGAAGATCTACCAAGCAAATGGAAAACAAAAAAAGGCAGGGGTTGCAATCCTAGTCTCTGATAAAACAGACTTTAAACCAACAAAGATCAAAAGAGACAAAGAAGGCCATTACATAATGGTAAAGGGATCAATTCAACAAGAAGAGCTAACTATCCTAAATATATATGCACCCAATACAGGAGCACCCAGATTCATAAAGCAAGTCCTGAGTGACCTACAAAGAGACTTAGACTCCCACACATTAATAATGGGAGACTTTAACACCCCACTGTCAACATTAGACAGATCAACGAGACAGAAAGTCAACAAGGATACCCAGGAATTGAACTCAGCTCTGCACCAAGTGGACCTAATAGACATCTACAGAACTCTCCACCTCAAATCAACAGAATATACATTTTTTTCAGCACCACACCACACCTATTCCAAAATTGACCACATAGTTGGAAGTAAAGCTCTCCTCAGCAAATGTAAAAGAACAGAAATTATAACAAACTATCTCTCAGACCACAGTGCAATCAAACTAGAACTCAGGATTAAGAATCTCACTCAAAACCGCTCAACTACATGGAAACTGAACAACCTGCTCCTGAATGACTATTGGGTACTTAATGAAATGAAGGCAGAAATAAAGATGTTCTTTGAAACCAATGAGAACAAAGACACAACATACCAGAATCTCTGGGACGCATTCAAAGCAGTGTGTAGAGGGAAATTTATAGCACTAAATGCCCACAAGAGAAAGCAGGAAAGATCCAAAATTGACACCCTAACATCACAATTAAAAGAACTAGAGAAGCAAGAGCAAACACATTCAAAACCTAGCAGAAGGCAAGAAATAACTAAAATCAGAGCAGAAATGAAGGAAATAGAGACACAAAAAACCCTTCAAAAAATCAATCAATCCAGCAGCTGGTTTTTTGAAAGGATCAACAAAATTGATAGACCACTAGCAAGACTAATAAAGAAAAAAAGAGAGAAGAATCAAATAGACACAATAAAAAATGATAAAGGTGATATCACCACTGATCCCACAGAAATACAAACTACCATCAGAGAATACTACAAACACCTCTACGCAAATAAACTAGAAAATCTAGAAGAAATGGATAAACTCCTGGACACATACACTCTCCCAAGACTAAACCAGGAAGAAGTTGAATCTCTGAATAGACCAATAACAGGAGCTGAAATTGTGGCAATAATCAATAGTTGACCAACAAAAAGAGTCCAGGACCAGATGGATTCACAGCCGAATTCTACCAGAGGTACAAGGAGGAACTGGTACCATTCCTTCTGAAACTATTCCAATCAATAGAAAAAGAGGGAATCCTCCCTAACTCATTTTATGAGAACAGCATCATTCTGATACCAAAGCCGGGCAGAGACACAACCAAAAAAGAGAATTTTAGACCAATATCCTTGATGAACATTGATGCAAAAATCCTCAATAAAATACTGGCAAAACGAATCCAGCAGCACATCCAAAAGCTTATCCACCATGATCAAGTGGGCTTCATCCCTGAGATGCAAGGCTGGTTCAATATACGCAAATCAATAAATGTAATCCAGCATATAAACAGAGCCAAAGACAAAAATCACATGATTATCTCAATAGATGCAGAAAAAGCCTTTGACAAAATTCAACAACGCTTCATGCTAAAAACTCTCAATAAATTAGGTATTGATGGGATGTATTTCAAAATAATGAGAGCTATCTATGACAAACCCACAGCCAATATCATACTGAATGGGCAAAAACTGGAAGCATTCCCTTTGAAAACTGGCACAAGACAGGGATGCCCTCTCTTACCACTCCTATTCAACATAGTGTTGGAAGTTCTGGCCAGGGCAATCAGGCAGGAGAAGGAAATAAAGGGTATTCAATTAGGAAAAGAGGAAGTCAAATTGTCCCTGTTTGCAGACGACATGATTGTATATCTAGAAAACCCCATTGTCTCAGCCCAAAATCTGCTTAAGCTGATAAGCAACTTCAGCAAAGTCTCAGGATACAAAATCAATGTACAAAAATCACAAGCATTCTTATACACCAACAACAGACAAACAGAGCCAAATCATGAGTGAACTCCCATTCACAATTGCTTCAAAGAGAATAAAATACCTAGGAATCCAACTTACAAGGGACGTGAAGGACCTCTTCAAGGAGAACTACAAACCACTGCTCAAGGAAATAAAAGAGGATACAAACAAATGGAAGAACATTCCACGCTCATGGGTAGGAAGAATCAATATCATGAAAATGGCCATACTGCCCAAGGTAATTTATAGATTCAATGCCATCCCCATCAAGCTACCAATGACTTTCTTCACAGAATTGGAAAAAACTACTTTAACGTTCATATGGAACCAAAAAAGAGCCCGCATCGCCAAGTCAATCCTAAGCCAAAAGAACAAAGCTGGAGGCATCACACTACCTGACTTCAAATTATACTACAAGGCTACAGTAACCAATACAGCATGGTACTGGTACCAAAACAGAGATATAGATCAATGGAACAGAACAGAGCCCTCAGAAATAATGCCGCATATCTACAACTATCTGATCTTTGACAAACCTGAGAAAAACAAGAAATGGGGAAAGGATTCGCTATTTAATAAAAGGTGCTGGGAAAACTGGCTAGCCATATGTAGAAAACTGAAACTGGATCCCTTCCTTACACCTTATACAAAAATCAATTCAAGATGGATTAAAGATTTAAACGTTAGACCTAAAACCATAAAAACCCTAGAAGAAAACCTAGGCATTACCATTCAGGACATAGGCATGGGCAAGGGCTTCATGTCCAAAACACCAAAAGCAATGGCAACAAAAGCCAAAATTGACAAATGAGATCTAATTAAACTAAAGAGCTTCTGCACAGCAAAACAAACTACCATCAGAGTGAACAGGCAACCTACAAAATGGGAGAAAATTTTCGCAACCTACTCATCTGACAAAGGGCTAATATCCAGAATCTACAATGAACTCAAACAAATTTACAAGAAAAAAACAACCCCATCAAAAAGTGGGTGAAGGACATGAACAGACACTTCTTAAAAGAAGATATTTATGCAGCCAAAAAACACATGAAAAAATGCTCATCATCACTGGCCATCAGAGAATGCAAATCAAAACCACCATGAGATACCATCTCACACCAGTTAGAATGGCAATCATTAAAAAGTCAGGAAACAACAGATGCTGGAGAGGATGTGGAGAAATAGGAACACTTTTACACTGTTGGTGGGACTGTAAACTAGTTCAACCATTGTGGAAGTCAGTGTGGCGATTCCTCAGGGATCTAGAACTAGAAATACCATTTGACCCAGCCATCCCATTACTGGGTATATACCCAAATGACTATAAATCATGCTGCTATAAAGACACATGCACACGTATGTTTATTGCGGCATTATTTACAATAGCAAAGACTTGGAACCAAGCCAAATGTCCAACAATGATAGACTGGATTAAGAAAATGTGGCACATATACACCATGGAATACTATGCAGCCATAAAAAATGATGAGTTCGTGTCCTTTGTAGGGACATGGATGAAATTGGAAATCATCATTCTCAGTAAACTATCGCAAGAACAAAAAACCCAACGCTGCATATTCTCACTCATAGGTGTGAATTGAACAATGAGATCACATGGACACAGGAAGGGGAATATCATACTCTGGGGACTGTGGTGGGGTGGGGGGAGGGGGGAAGGATAGCATTGGGAGATATACCTAATGCTAGATGACGAGTTAGTGGGTGCAGAGCACCAGCATGGCACATGTATACATATGTAACTAACCTGCACAATGTGCACATGTACCCTAAAACTTAAAGTATAATAAAAAAAAAAAAAAGAAAACTAGTACACCACCTTTGTAGGCACAAAATGATTAAAAAATATATGCCAGAAAATGATAGAGTTACATCTTATCATCCTGTTGGAAAGTACTTTAGAGCTTCAGAACTTAGAAAAAAGATGCATTCAGTATCAATTTTGGTACATGAGTAAGACTTCATGTAGAAATAAAGAATTTTAAGGATGAATATAAATCAAGGCTTATTAAAATAGAATGTGATTGCATATTATAGCGTGGAGTTATAACTGAAAGGAGAGAAGAGAAGGAAGGAGAAAGAAACTAAAAATAGGAAAGGAAAGGAAAAAAAATTCAACTGTGTTTCTTTAAAAAAATAAAGCAGATTCGAGTAACTTATTTTTTTTTAATTATGGAGAAGGAAGCAGCATGAAAACAAAAATAATAGAGCAAGAAACATCTTTTATCATTGCTTTCAGTTCTGGATCTTTGCATTACATTAATTCAATAGGGAAGTTTTTCTTCCCCCTATGCCTTATCCAAGCAATCATTTTAGCTTTTTGAAAAATAAATAATACAAATAGTCTTTGTGGAGATCTTGCATTTACTCATGAAAATAATAGACAATATAAATAGGCTTTGTGGAGATCTTGCATTTACTCATGAAAATAATAGACAGATCTGAATTATTTATAAAGCCAATTATTTTTACAAAGACACTGAATGGCAGGTAATGGCGAAGGAGGGATTTGCTGGTAATTTAATTTTAAAAAAATTGTGAAGAAATCTGTGCCAGGTTTTAAAACTTAATTAATCTGTGATGCATTAATAGAAATGCTTGAAAAGAAGCCCATCTGGTGGTAACTTTGATTAAAGTGGGAAAGCTGAAGGCAAATCTAGTATCACAATGCTGCCTGCAAGTCCTTTTGGGCTTTTGCTTGCAAACAAATGTAAAGATGTGTGATTATATGAACATTATTCTGAATTACATTCCAGGAAAAAAAAAACTGAGCCTCAAAAGTTAAGAGCTAGAAGGCTTGAAATAAGGTTGCAAAACTCTTAAGGTTTACTAATTTTCCAGAATTCCAGAGAGAAATGGTTTATTCTCACTTGAAACATTCCTTAGCTTGTCTATTCTTTGTTAGAGATGACTGTTGTGAGTTTTAGAAAACATCTAGCATGATGTCTTTGCAATAACAGCTTTTTGTACTCTTATGTATCTGTTGATAATTTTGATTAATAAGGTGCTGGAGTCCTTCTAAATTGAAACAGTAAAACAAGCATATGTGGAAAAAGAACTAACAGTACCAATGTGTGCTGAGTTAAAAGTAAATTTTCCACTATTCCAGACCCCTGCTCCACCTCCCAATGGCAATCAATGTCATCAGTTTCTTAATCAGCTTCCTAAAAATAGTGTGCTTATACACAAACCACTTATCCATTTATTTTACACATTTTTTTTTACAATGAGTAGTATTCTGCATCTTGCTTTTCTCATTTAACAATGCATTTCAGAGATAATTTGATATCAGTACTTATAGGTTTTACTTCACACTTATCAATAAAGGGAAATTCTTCCATTTAATAGATATATCATAATCTATGTAAGTAGTCTTCTATTGATAGGCATTTATATTATTTCCAGGATTTTACCATCACAAAGAACTCCGTAGGGAATGTAGTTGAGCATATGTTTCTGCACTCATATGAGTATGTCTGTGGGATACCTTCCTAGAAGTAGACTAGCATGACTAAAGCAAATAGGTGTTTAGCCTTCTAACAGAGATTTCTAAATTGTTCTCCAAGAGGTTGTTCCAATTTACATTTCTGCCAATGATATCTAAGAATATTATTTTGCTGTAGTCTTTTTAATGTGATAGATATGATCAACCTTGCTTATCATTGCTAATCTGTCAGGAATAGAATGGGCACTCATTACTTTAAAATGTATCTATTTAATTAGAAATTCATTCATTCAACCAGTGCTTGCCAACAAATAAATTTTTCAATCAAAACAATTAATATGAGGTAGATTTTTCCAGTTATCTATTGCTATAGACAACTATCCCAAAATTTAGTAGCTTAAAACATTTTATTACTATTTTATCTCATGATTCTGTGGGTTGCGATTTCAGAAAGAATGCAGTGGGAACAGCTGGTACCTGTACACAGAGTACAAATACAAACTGTGTTAAGTGCTATAAAATGTATAAAGGAAGATCTTCATCTGGTCTCTGGGATTAGGGCAAGGTTTCCTTGAGGAACTGAAATTTGAAATGAGATCAGAAAAAAAGGGGAGGAATGGAGTATGTAAAGAGCACCAGTGCAGACAGCAGGGCTTTAGGGAAAAGGTGGAGTGGGAAGAGAGGGGAGTGATAGGTAAGGCATGTATTTCAGTGAAAAGCTAGAGCATTTACAAATTCTTTAAAATGGGAGAAGACATGATGGTTCAAGGACCCAAAACAAAGTCAAGTGTCTACAGAGCATAGAGCTAGGAAGGAAGCCACAAAGGCTTTTCTTATGGGCCATCTTAAAGATTTGAGTCTTTATCCAAAAATCAGTAGGTAATAAATAAATAGGAATTGCCTTCCCACTCCAGGCTCTTGGTTTATTACTGTGTCCTCTCTCAACAATCCAGACTCTGCCCATGGTTCAGGCTCCTGTGACAATGTCTTCCTCCCATCCTTTCCCATTTATTTCCATTTATTTATGGAAATAAATCAGGCAAAGGATTTGAGATGCTGGAAGGTTTCTCTTTCCGATGGTTACCCTATTAGGAGTTAGTGCAGGGAAAAGAAACAATTCCATGTCTTTCTAGAAGTAAGGGATTTAATGTAAGGAATTAGGTGCTTATAAAATGATTGGAGGGTCTATGGAGAAGCAAAGTCAGGAGGTCTGCTAGTGAACTACTGATTGCAAGATCTAGCTCCTGCAGTTGAAAACCATCAAGACTCTACGGGTGCTGCAGTCACAGTCACAGCTGCCTCACACCCATGGAACACCAGAGCAAAGAGTACAGTCATCTCCATCATGGACATGTGTTGGAACTTTGGGGAAATGACCCCACATGCTTTCCACTTCCCAAATCTTGAATGAGTACATTTCATTGAAAGAAACCTAATTGCATACACAATCCTATTTGCAAGACAGCCAGTGCTAAGTGGTTTTCTAGCTTGTAATTGCTGAACTATATGAAAGGCAGCGGGAATAAATGCTGAGAACCAACAGATAAGGTCCAGTACGTTCACTGAACCCCTCTTTCCTGAGAGAAACCTTAAGAAATAAGCAAGGGATGAGAAATGAGGAATGAACCATAGTAAATGCTCAATGATTTTCAGTAATAATTGAGCTGTGGTCCGGGGAGATAAAAATTCAAAATGCCTGATACTGTGTTGGTCATTGTATGTACTTTTCGGATGAATGTCCCCAACAGATAGCACCTTGTTTCTCTAATCTGTTTGCAAAGAAGTTGAAAAATATTACAAAAAGTAAACATGGAGATCAAAATGTTTCATTCACAATTCACTAAAAGGTGAACTTTTATGTGTAGGATTATGTTACAGATGTGTTATGTATGATAGTCTTTTCCATTATAACCAGAACTTTGATTCTTTTTCCAGTGTATGTAATTATTAAAGTAATGTATCTAATTACCTTACCAGGTTTTGAGAAATAGTGTAATTGCCTGCAACTGAATATATCATAGTGGAGCAAACATGGTAATTATAATGAGAAAATGTGAGTTATCGTTCTTGTCACTTTCTTAAAAACTCACAACCTTTTGGTACTTCAATTTCCTTACATGTGAAAATAGAATTTTGGGGTTAAAAAATTTCCCAGGTACATCCTCTAAAAGTCTACTTTATTATTTTGTAATTTTATGAATTCAGTAACTCGAGTTGGATGCAGGCATAATCATACTGAATCTTCCATTTTAGTTTGAAGTCTAGGAGCTACTTAGAAACTTTGAACTACTCTTCTTTTGTAGTTTGTTTTCTTTAGGTTTCTCTTTATAGGTTTCTCTCCACATCTCACTACACAGATTCTTTTTCATCCCTGAGGTAAAAAAACAATCAGTACATTATACTTGTTTCTCAAGAGGAAAGTTTGCAGTATTGGAAACATCCCTTTAAATCACCCTATGTAAACATTCCCAGTGAGCAGAATGTCCGGTAATTCAGCATCCATAGCATAGTCTTCTTAAAATCTGTCACTGGTAGTTTGCAAATACCATGAGAGCAGTTGAGGGCCAAGTCCTCATTCAAGACAATGTAACCATTTTGACCTACAAGGACTCCATCCACGTACATTCATTCAACTTTCTCTGAAGACTCTTGTGTCACAAACAAGAGATCTCTGCAGCGTGAGGCTTCCTATTTGAAAAACCAATTTCATGAACAATAAAATTTCACATTTTTTGGTTCTTACCAATTACAATTGCTTGAAATGGATGCTGGGTTTTCATGAGCTGCTTTTTTAAAATACAAAGAACGAAGGCTTCCCAGGCATTGCTAGAGGTACCAGCTGTGGTCCTGCTGTGAGGACTTGTATAGGGCTGTCTTGTTCTATAAAAGACAGTAAAAAAATTTGAATTTGTATTGGGCATTTTTCCCTTCCAGCTTCAGAGTTATTTTATTTTTTTCTTAATGCAAATTTTTATGTTGATGCTTCTTCTATCTTTATATCCTTTTTTGACCATTGGAGCAATTTATTGAATGTCAATCTTTCTGGAAAGATTTTTGTCTTTCTAGAATTAACATGCTGAGTCAGAAGCTGTCCTATATATCCACCAAGCATAAACATCAAGATGCCTGACTATGTCAAGCTTACTCTGTAAGAGGAAGCTATAAGTCCAAATGCCTATCAATATTCTTATCTCTTTTCTAATGGGATATCTTATTTTTCTGCTGTATTAACTTTCCTTTTCAGATGTCTGAGGTTGTATGACATTACTAATTCTACCTATTATAACTCAGTGTGTCTGTTTATCTGTAATGTCATTACAAGTTTACCTGCAATGTCACCCATATGATGGTATTTGAAGATGGGGCTTTTAGGAGATAACTAGGTTATGAGGGTGGAACCTCATTAAGGGGATTAGTGTCCTTACAAGAAGAGGCAAGGAACTACCTCAGTCTCCTTCCACCGTGCAATGATGCAAGAAGTCAGCTATGTGCAATCTGAAAGAGATCCCTCACCAGAACCTGACCATGGTATCACCATGATCTCTTACTTCCAGCCTCCAGAACTGTAAAAAATACATTTCTGTTGTTGATCAGCCACCTATGCTATGGTATTTTGTTATAGCTGCCCAATCTGACTAAGATACTGACTTTAAAAAAGGTTCAAAAGTAACTGGAAGGTTGAAGGGGAACCTGAAGGAGTCATGCAGACTGATGCCTGCTGAAAATATTTCCTGGGGACTGTTCATTTATTGAGCCTGTGCTCCATGTCATGCACCGTGCCACAAGCTGGGACACAACAATTAAGTCTGTGACCTCAAAAACCTCACACCTAATGGGCAAATGAACAAGCTGCTTCAGTAGAGTGGGATGAGTGCCGCATTGGTGAGGGATATATGCCAGGCGGTTGGAATAAGCAATAGTTGGCTTCAATGTCACCAAGTAATTGGTGACATTTGTGCTGAATATTCAAATAGGATGTGGTGGCTTATCAAGAGGCCCAAAGCACAACAAAGGAAATATTCAATCAGCAGGGCCAGGGATGCAGAATTCTGCTCAGGAGAATAGCATATGCAAAACTGTGGAGAAATTTATCCTTAGAAAGCTATTAATGATTTGGCATCGTTGGATACCAAGTTGAAGAACTACTTAAAGAGTTATAGGACTAAATAGATACATATCAGAACAGTGAGATTTCTCCTCATTACTTTAGGGGCCACACTGGTTCTTTTCTAATTGAGGGTTTTCCCTTTCTTCCACTTATTTTCCTTCTCAAATCACTGATGTAATCATTACCTTCTTAGAATTCCTCATGTTAAACTTTGATTTTCAAGTAAATGCTCAAAACCCTGGCTTAATAAGGTGGATACAGAAATGACAGTTACTTTTTTGGGAAAGGCAACACATGTCATTGTGACACCGTAGAGAGAGAGGCCTGGGGAGGGGTGAGGAATATCGAGAAAGAGTGGCTCAGAGGCAGCCAGAAATGACTCTTCATGGAGACAATGGAAGTCTCCCAGAATTGCCCAAAATGAATATAGGAACTAATAGGAAAACAAACTGAGATCTCCTTTTTCTAATGGAATGGTGGTGTTCTGCTGTTGGAACTGAAGAGACAGAATAGGAAAAATTGCAAGTTGATAGATTCATGGAGTAAAATAGTATTCCATGCCTTCATGGAATCAAAGAAATGGAGAAAAGAGGTAACATTAGGGATAGAGTGATGAGGAAGACTCAAGGAAATATTGAGGCTGAGGAAGAGGTAAAGGTTGAGGTAAAGCTCAAAGTTGGCTCAATGCTTAGATATAGAATGAGGGATTGGTGTAATAATAGATATCTGTTGCACTAATATTTTAGCACTAATATGGCTATTATGATTCCAAAGAAAAAATACTACCTTCAGATATTGCATCTGAATATTCCTTGAGCTAAGAAATCAGTGCTGAAGCAGAGATCAGTGAGGGTTTTCTGCCCAGATTCAAAATTCAGTATATGTTCTTTTGTGGGAAAGGGATACATTAAGTAAAATATTCCAAAAGATTTTCTCATTCAGAAATCTGGCAAAAGAAAGAATTTAACATCTGTACTGGAGTCCTGGGAACCACAGCAAGTAGATTCCAAATTTCCAGCCAGGAAAGCACAGGTATTTTCAGGTAAAGTGGTTAGCTTTACAGAGTAGAGATCATCAGGAGTTTTCAACATATAAACATAGTCTATATACTGAGTGTTAATAAATGTGCTTTGTAGCATTTCTGTTAATTATACTCCTTAATATAAATTTATGTTCAGAGTGCTTATCTAATATTTCAGGTTTTCCCAGTAGTACTGGCAAACTATGGGGTAGATTTCCAGCCCCATTTTTTCCATGAAAGTGATTACATAAGAATTCATGAACAATTTCATTGTCGAAAATACTATGTAATTTTATTTCCATTGTGAGCAAGTATGCCATACTGATATAGATGTGAATAGGCAAGCATTTTGAAGAACCAGGAAATCATGTAGTAAGAATTTCAGAAAATTTATGTTTAATCCTAAGAGATTTAGCAGAGCTCTAGGGCAATGACTTAGTAATGGAAATTCTGATGAGGAGTTAGCACAGTGGTTTACGAGAGGTAGTACGAAAACCAGAGTTCTGGACAGGACTGTTTATAACCCAATAGGGCAAGAGAATGTCTGAAGTTAGGAAAAGAAAGTTGGTTAAAAATCTGAAAGTGATTGTCATGGTTTTGAGCAGATTTAAGATCCAAAGATATTAATAATAAAATTGGAGCCATAAACTAACAGTCCTTGTAGAGAACAGAACAAGGGAAAGGATGAGCTCAGACGCATTCCTGAAAACTTGCTATTATGATTCTAGCTTGATGTTAATGCCTTTGAGGGAAACTGAGATGCAGCACAGAGCTTTGTAACCAAAACTATTCACTCCTTTAAGAAGCCTTCTCAAAAGCTTTATTCAACTGTATCTTTACCAAAAAGAAGTAGCCTCAGACAGGTTCTTCATGGGTACTCCTCAAGACGTCTCCATGGATAATATGAAGCCAAGGTAAAAGATCTCTTTGTTAGAAGACAATAGGTGACTAGTCACATGGGCAAGGTGGCATAGGGCATGGAGCAGGACTAGGGAGAATGGGTACCTCCTTTGATTCTTGCTGCAACCTGTCAATAACAGATAAGACAGATGAACCAAGAACTTCCATTTAACATTTCATGGAGGTCATTATGGGAGTGAAATAAGCCAGGCACAGAAAGACAACTATCACATGTTCTCATTCATATGTGGGAGATAAAAAAATGGATCTCATGGAGGTAGAGAGTAGAATGGTGGTTACCTTAGGCTGAGAATGGGAGTGGGAAGGGAAGAATGAAGAGAAGTTTGTTAAGGGTTACAAAGATACAATTAGAGAGAAAAAATAAGTACTAGTATTGGTAGGACAGTAGGGAAATCATAGTTAACAATAACTTATTGTATATTTTAAAATATCTAGAAGAAAAGAATCATAATGTTCCCAATACACACAAAAAAGATAAATATTTGAGTTAATAGATTCCTCAGTTACCCTGATTTGCTCATTACACATTGTATCAAAATAGCACCTGTATCTCAAAAGTATGTACAACTATTATATATCAATTTTAATTTTTAAAAAATTCACAGAACATAATGTACAGCGATTCACACTTTATTTTTGAAATGTTGTGCCATCACATATTTATAAGAAGGAAAAATATCTTAAAAATAGTAAACAGTAAAAGCCTGACAGGCTCTTGAAGACATTAGCCAGAGTCACATAGCAATGGATCTTCCATGTTAACACTGAAAATGCCTGGCCAGAAAGTCCTTCATCACTGAGAGGAGGATTTTAGACTCGGCATCTCCACCAACACTTTACTTTGATTAGAGAGCCTGTCAATAGGTTTGATCAATGTTCTGCTTGCCTGGTGGTACCACCTAAATTCTCATTTGCAGCTGTCACTTTTTAGGGAATTGCAAACTCTCAGATCATTAAAGTGGCATGCCATGTGACTCACATTTGACAGACAATCGCTTACTAAAAATATCTGTCCTGATCAGTGCTGATGTTCTAAAAGGATATTTTCAGCTTCTTGTTCTCTCTGCCTTTCTGTGATGACACTGTACCCGGTGAGTTAAAAGCAACAGAAGAAAGAGCATCATTAAAGGCAGCAGGTTATTGTAGAACATGGCCTGCCAATGGGGATTTGGGTCGGAAGCAGGAGCTCATGCAGCCCTGTAAAGGTAATATCTCTGCTGATCCTTGTAGCACATGGACCTGTCACTGCATACTCCCATGCCTCTCAGACAGCCATAACTCTTCTCTCCAAACGGCCTTTAATTAGAACTGCTGTCGCTGTTGCTTGGTTGGGTAGGTTTGATCTCACTTTGTTCAAGGCCATTATAATCTCTCCAGGTTCATGTTCAATTGGTGTGTCAGAGATCAGGGCCTTGGATGATTTCTCAAGTTGACAAGTAGTGATGGTTATGGGCTGGCATGCCTAGATACATTGTGAGAAGTGGGTCTCAAGACATCATTACAAGGTTAATCTATGGTGTTCTCAACTCCTCTATTACATATGTCCTGGGATTTAAACAGGATGGGTAACAAACGGCAGGGTAGAAATTGGCTTTATAAGCTGCCTTCTTTTGTGAATTCTACTTACGTGACCTGCCCACTCTGGGATTTGGAATTTTAACTGTAATTGTCATTGTGACTTACCCATTCTAGTGTCTACCTTTAGCTACTGCTGAAAAAGTTGCTTTACAAACATTCTTGATATTTCTGTTGAGAAATATCTATTTCCAAACTGAATACCACACCAATAATAACTACCCACAGAATAGAAATAAGTTGTTATTTCTCCTTAAGTCATATTTTCAAAGATCATTTCTTCACTCTAAATCTAGAAGCCCAAGATTGTGCTGTTTAAATATTTCACCCTCACTATATACAGGCTATTTTTGCTGACACTTGGTGTTATTACTTTGTTGTAAGTGAATGCAATGAAAATGTAATTGACACTTTTTCCTTCTGCCATGACTGTTCAGTCCTCTAGAATTGCATTGAATGATGAACTCAATCAATAAGTCAGGGCCCAGTGTCTACCCAGATTTCTGAGCTAACTGAGGCAGGGACAGAGAACATGGTTCTCCAATATGGTTAGTATTGGATTGAAGATTTATTTTTGACTATCTGAAGAGTTAAAGATAAGGCCTATGGCTCTGTGTAATCTCTTGAGTTATAGAATCCTACTTGCATTTCCTCTCTTCTGGTCCATTTCATAGGAGTGTATTTTTAAACTGGGTTCTTTGCCCAGCACTCCACCAGCACTCCACATGAACTGGAACTCTTCCTGAAATCTCACATCTTCTCATGGGAAATCTGACCACTGGGTCACTCCCACATACTTCCTCTCTTAAGGATCTGTATTCCATTCTAAGTTACTCTGTAATTAGTTGGAATCTTTCCACAAACAGTCTGGAATTTCTCCCCACAATATTCTCTTATAAAATTAAGTTCTTCTAACTCTCTTCTCCCATTGATGAGGGCCCCCAACACCTGGCTTTGTAAAACTGCCATTCCTCTCATCAGCCTCACAGCCTGATTTTTCCAGCCCATGCAATAATCTGGAGTGACTGAGGCTACATGTAATCCTAGAATGCTCTGCTCCCCATTGGTGCGTTGTGCTAAGGTTCTAGAACATTTCATACCAAAACCTCCTCTCAGTATAATTCATTACTGATAACACCACCAATGCTATAGGACTGGGGAAAGAGGGAAGAGCAATTTAGTTACATCCCGTAAAGGCTTCTTAAATTTTTTCTGCAGAGCTATATTAAATCATAATTTCTTTTTCTTTTTGTTTGTTGAAATTTTTAACTTAATTTCAATTTTTATTTCAGTAATACATGTATATTGTCCAAAATGTTAGTTAGCGCTTCAAGGCTGATCATAGAAAAGCAGGAGTTTCTGTCTCTAAATATCCTTTCATCTGATTCTCACTCCATGAGGACAGTCTCTTTATGCACATTTCACTGTTTCTTCTGGTATTTAATACCATATTTCTAAAATTAGCTATCTATTGCTGTTTCTTGCTTTTTCCAGTTTTGAGGTTATTTATGCATTTTGAACTCATGGAAGATGAGGCTTAGGGTTCTCACTTCCCTCCAGTCACCATAGTCTCACCCAATTTTTATTCCACCCCTCCTCTGAGTGTATTTCTATCACCATTTAGATTGAACAAAAATGTAGTATGTTTATTATTCTGACTCTCAACTCTGTTCATACCTCAACTAAGGGGTGTACTATCATTGTATTTTCTTTCTTCAACTTTTAATTTTTCCTGAAGTGGCTAATTATTTCTTTTCTTTGTTTGTTCAGTTTTCTTTTTATGTACCATGAATTCATCACCAAACTCTCCAATACAACAATGAAACACCTCTCAATTATGTCAAAGTGGTAGAGTAATCTATTGCTCTATTTCTTTTAATATTACTATCCCTCCTGGAGCCCTCTCTTTTTCTTTTCTAATCCGGACAATCTGCATTCTGGTTTTACTGCACAGCTGCCACCCTGGGATTTTCTTTCACTTTCCTTCTAGGATTCCTCTAACTTATAAACTGTTTCCTGGATCCTGGATCTTCATCTTTCTTGGTTTACTACATTCATTTTGGTAGAACATATCCATGGTAGAGAGATTCTAAGTTACTGCCATTATTCCTACGTCCTGATATTCATGCCCTTGCATTGGTGGGGATGAAGAAGCTTGCTTTCATCCAATATAATATGGCAAAGATGATGGATTGTCAGTTCCATGATTATATTACATAAGATTGTAATGCATAATGCTCATCTTACTAGAAGGCTTTCTTTCTTACTGGCTTCAAAAAAAAAAAAAGCTTCCATACTGTGAGATGTACTATGGAGAGGGTCACATAGTGAGGTGGTGACGGCAGCCTCTGGCTGACACTCAGCAAGCAACTGATGTCCTCAGTTTGACATCCTGCAGGAACTGAATGTGGCCAACAAACATGAGAATGTGGGAGCAAATCCTTCCCAGTCAGACTTTCAGATGAAAACAAAGTCCCAGCTATCATCTTGGCTATAGCCTTGCAGAGAACCCAGCTAAGTCATGCCCAAGCTTCAGCTCCAAAGAATGTATTGAATAGTTAAAATATACAGTTTTAAGTCACTAAGTTTGTGGTAATATTATTACACAGCAAAAGAAATGAATATAGATTTCAGAACCTGGAAATGGGGTATTGTTATAATGAATATTAAAAATTGTGTAAAGGACTTTGGAACTTGGCAGTGGATGGAGGCTGGAAGAATTTTGAGAAAAATAACAGAAAAATATTGATAGACTGTTATAAATTTGGACTTTAAGGATCCTGCCAGTGAGGACTCAGAGGCAGTGAGTAACACATTATTGGAAACTGGATAAAGGAGCATCCCTCTTATGTAGTGGCAGAAAGCTTAGTGAAATTGTGACCTGCAGTCATCTGGGAAGGAGAGCATGTAAGTAATAGACTTATTTAGCTGAGAAGATTTCCAAACAAAGTGTTGAAGTTTCAACCTAGCATCTTCATGCTGCTTATGGTAAAATGTGTGAGGAGAGACATACTGTGAGGGAAGACAGTAAACAAAAAAGAAACAGAAATTGATTATTCTGAAAAATTTTAGCCTCTCCATATGTCAAAAGACACTAAAATTAAGAGATGGCTTCCAAGCACTGTTAGAACAGTATAGTCTCGACAAAAATCCAAGTGTATGCCTGTACAATTTTTTATTAAAACTTCAGATCAAAGGATCATAGTAGTACTCAATCACACAAGGAGCCCTTGAAAGAGACTAAGAGTACGCTTCTTGGAATCTCTCAATCAAACCATATGGCATTTAGAAATATTAAGGGAATTGTCCCTCACCTATCTCAGAAGGAATCCAAAGTGCAGAAGAACTTGAAAAAAACGTGGCTTTTGCCTGATGGACTGGACCATAGAAGATTTAAACATTTTTGGAAATGTTATTTCAGCAAAACCACTGCCAGCTTGAACTGAAAGGTAGAGGGACAGTGTCAAACACAAAGAGGCTATCAACCACTTAAATTCTATTGGCAAGAGGCAGGCTAATATAACTGCTGAGTAACAAATACTTGTTATACTTTTCTTGACTCAGAGGGTAGAACTAAAAGTCCAGAACCAGGGAAAATAATTCCTAGATCTTCAAAGCTAATCAAGAAACTCCCAACATTTGTGAAGCTGGCTTTTAGAATTGCTGTGATTCAGTGATTCTTGCATACTATTTATCCTCCTTTTTAAAATGAAAATGTCTATAGCTGTTATCCTATGCCTGTCCAATCACCATAATTGGAGTGTGTGGGGGGAAGGTAACTTGTCTGTTTGGTTTTGCAGATCCATGCATCAAGAAGAGCTACATCCAAGGAAACTCATCCATGCCTGGACTTAATTTATATAATGAAATTCTGAACTTTCAATAGATGCTGTAATAGGATGAGAGTTTTGGAGATCTTGGGAGGGAATGAATGTGTTTTGCATGGGGAAGGGACATGAATCACTGAAGCCCAGATGATGGACAATGGCTGACAGACTCTAAAAATGGCCCCATGATCTCCACCTCCTGGTATCCATACCTCTACAATCCCTTCCCCTTATTCAATAGAGTACAAAAGAAGGATAGGATTTCACTTCTGTTATTACATTACATACAACTGTAGTACCTGTCTTGCTGGAAGACTTCCCCTTTCCTGGCTTTAAAGAAAAAAGTTACAAATTGTGAACAGCTGTCCCCTGTAGAAGCCATGTTACAATGAACTGAGGAAAGCCACCGGCCAACATCCAGCAAGAATCTGAGGCCCTCAGTCCGCATTCCTCAAGAAACTGAATGCTGCTGACAAAAATACAAGAGGAAGTGGATCCATCCCCAATCAAGCCTCCAGAAAAGAACACGGTCTTGGCCAAAACCTTGATGGTAACCTTGGAGAAGACTCAGCTAAGCTGTGCCTGGATTTCTGACTCACTGAAACTGTGGGATAATAAATGTGTGTTATTTTCAGCCAATAAATTTGCAGTAATGTTATTATGCAGCAAAAGTTAACTAATTTATTATCTTTCAGTACCTTATCCTTGATTGATGTTTGTTCTGTATAAAATTGCATACTTAAAATATATAATTTTTACTCAAAATTTTGAAAAATAATAGTATCTTCTAACCCATAATGTTGATATTTAGAAATCTGATACATTATAATTTTTGAACCCTTGTATCTGGTCTCTCTCTTTTTTTCCTATTATAAGCCTCTAGGATTTTTGCTTGATGCCAAATGTTTAAAAAGGTAATGTTCATTGATGCAGGTCATTTGGGTGGCCTCTGCCAATTTAGAAACAGATGTCCATCAGTTCTGAGAAATTTCTTTTTTTAAATGCTAATTTCATCTTTTTTTTCTAATTTTCTGTTTCCAGATATCCTGTTAACCACCTTCCTGAATCAATCTTCAGATTTTTGTATTTTTTCTCTACTATTTTCCAAAGTTTTAATCTTTTTATTTTCTTGGAACTTAACTTTATCTGCCAACTCATTTGTGAAATGTCTTATTTCTGTTGTCATGCCTTTAATTTCCAAGTATTCTTTTTATTTATTTATTTTTTTCATTTTATTCTAGGTGTCCTGCCTAGCTCACCAGGCAATGAAATAATGACTGGTCCAGTGGGGTTTGTACTTGAGCAATGCAAATTAAAAGATGGCCTATCACAGCACTACTCCTCAGAACTATAAAGTTCTCACATGCTTTATTATTTTTGACCTCATTTGATCATAACACACCTTCTTCAAGGTCACCAAGGATAAAATTCCTGGTTACTGTAGACATGGAGTTTGGAGTCAATGAGATCTGGGCTTGGGTCTTGGTATTGCAACTTAATAGCTATGGCATCTTGGGCAAATTCTTTAAATTCCCTAATGTTCCAGTTTCCTCATCCATAAAATGAGACCAGTGATTTTGGAGGACCAGGTGGGTGGATCACGAGGTCAGGAGTTCGAGACCAGCCTGGACAACCTGGTGAAACCCCATCCCTACTAATGATACAAAACAATTAGCAGGGCGTGCTGGCTTGCACCTGTAATCCCAGCTACTTGGGAGGCTGAGGCAGGAGAATCGCTTGAACCTGGGAGGCGAAGGTTGCAGTGAGCTGAGATGATGCCTTTGCACTCTAGCCTGGGCGACAGAGCGAGACTCTATCTCAAAAAAAAAAAAAGAAAATGAGACCAGTGACTTCAACTGGCTAGTGTTAGGTTGAATCAATATAATTCCTACCAAGTTCTTAATATATTGCAGGGTAAGTGAACCATAAATGTGTCTCTTGCTGTTGGTGGTGTTGCAGCCCTTCTTTAGAGTCAGCTGGGAAAATACTTCACAAAGCTCTCCTTGACTGTCTTTATTACATATTTAGTTTCTGTTTCTCTATGTTTCTACTTCACTAGTTCATGCTTCCCTTATATGACCCTTTTTGTTTTCTAGTTTCATACTCTAAGCTCCTTGAAGGAAGGCCTTATGCTTTTTCATTCACATATTTCAATGCCTAATACAGTGTCAGCATCGCACTAATGCTCAGTAAATGATTTTTGAATGAATCCTCAAATGAATTTTACATTTTGTGCAGTGAAATTTGTTCTTAGTCAATTTTTTCTCTGTATCTGCATCCACACTTGCATCTGAGGCTGTAGAGGCATTGTTGATATAAATAGCTTTTAGCAGCTTAATATGCCATAAGCCGCAAGGGAGATAACTCTGAAGCAGAATTGCCTACAAGCACAAATTTCACTAAAAAATTTGTTCAACTCAAGGACATAATTTATTTCTATTCTTTGTATATACAAAGATGTAAATGAAGCACCAGACTAACCCTTTGTATTAAAAAAAATCATTTTTTAGACCTAACTGAAGACCCACCTCTCCCAAAATGACTTTCTGGGCAAAGCAGACCCAACCAGATTTTCTTTCCTCCTTCTCTTCCCTGTCTATGTTCTTCCTTTCTCATATACTTATTGTGCCATTACACACAGCATCCCAGGTATTATGGCAGGTGCTAAATATTAAGTCATAAACTCAATAGACATAATGTCTGCCTCTGCAGAGCTCACTTTATAGTGAGGGACTCAGGCAATTGTCCACATGTGGGTCAGATTGGACTTTGATAGACAGACCTGTGAGTAAACTATCATACCCGCTAGGGTCTTGAGTGTGCTCTGGTAACCAGCCTTCCAACAGTCAGAGAAAATTTGCAGATACTGAGAAAGATGCCCATCTTTGGGGTTCACATGGGACTCCAAAGACGTGACAGAATGTGACTCTGGCCAGCAATGGGGTTCAGGCATATAGAGAAAGAGATAATGATGAAGGAAAATCATATGAAGGAAAATAACTGTTAGAGCTTTCCCTGTCCCCTTGCAATCTCTCCCTGCCAGAATCCATGAAACTCAAGGCCTTGATGCAGCTGTGTGAAGCTGATGGTCCTCTGAAACTCAAGGATAGACTAAGACAGTACAATTATATGCAATTTACTCACTGTCCAAGTGTCCTATGAAGGAGACGACAGTGGTACAAGACAAACATCATCATTAGGTTAGATTAGATTCTTGCCCAAATAATCTGCTCCTCTCCAGAAGCAGAAGACTTGTTGCTTTCTGGAGAGGGAGAAGAGCACCAAGGTCAGCAGTCCAGACAAGGTCTTCAAGGGAACCAGCAGTGGCCTCTTTTCTTCAGCAAGCAGAGGAACCTCCGAAGGAGCAGTCATCAGAGCAGAAGGGTCACAGAACTGCAAGCAGCAGAGGAGGTTCTTTGTGAGGGTCACATTTCTCCCCATGCCCAAGGACTCTTGGTGAGTAGAATTGGGGAGAAAGACAATATTTCCTATTAGTCAAGAGTATAAAATATTGGACCATTGCACTTTGGGATATTTTTGTAATTTTCACATAGTTATACTTACTGGCAGGTGAGACATGGGGATATATGGGTTACATTATTAAATACACAATTGCAATACAATGTTAATGTAGTAATACCTAATATCTGCTGAATGCTTACCATATGGTAACATTCTAAGCATGGCATGTGGATTATCTCATTTAATACTCATAACAAACATATGAAATAAGAACTTGCTATGGTTTGAATGTATGAGTCCTTCCAAATTTTATTGTTGAAACTTAAACTTCAAGGTGATGGTATTCAGAGGTAGGGCCTGTGGGAGGTAATTAGGCCATGAGAGCTTGAAAAGGGATGAGATTAATGCCCTTATAAAAGGGTTTGAGGGAGGATTCATCACTTTTTTGCCCTTCTGTCATGTGAGAACACAGCAAGAAGATGCCATCCTGAAAGCAGAAAGTGAGCCCTTACCAGACAGAGAATTGTCTGGTGCCTTGATCTTGGTGTTTCCAACCTCCAGAACTGTGAGAAATATATTTCTATTACTTACACATTATCCAGCTGAAGGTATTAGGTTACAGCAGCAGGGATAGACTAAGACAGTACAATTATATTTAATTTACACATGAGGAAGTCTCACTTTAATCAATGAGATTAAATTACTTGCCCAAGGTCACACAGAGATTCACCACTTCTCTGATTATCATGTCAATGAAACCTTGTCTTCTAACTAGATATAAGCTTTTCAAGGGCTGAGACTCTGTCTTGTGTCTATTTAAAGCAACTCCACAGGTATATAACAGAATCCTGGGCATGGGGCCCCCTTGTAGGCAAGGCTTCCAACAGGTAACCTGTACTCTATTAGCCCAATGTTCTACCTGCTGTGTTCCGTCTTCACCCCCCATTTACACCCATCCATGCACCTCAGATATCTGGCACGTTACATTGCTAAGTACTTTTCCAAACTACCTGTCCTGGGTAGTCTTCCACCTAGCCTGGTCATAATTGTCTGACATTATAACTTGCTCCTTCTTCCTTCAGTAGGAGACTCCTTTACTTTAACATAACAGATCTTGGTCAGGTGAATCGAGGAAAGCAGTTCAATTAGGATAACTCAAGTAAGCCTGAAGTCATTTGGTCATCATTTATTGAATGTTTTTATTGTTCCAAGCACTACGATGAATAATGTACTCCAGGAGATGTAGTGTTTGCAATAAGAGCTATAAAATTAGGTGAAATGAATTAAGTATCCAATTTGTGGTATGACAGGAGAATTTGGAAAAGGGAGAAATCACTTTGGACTTGAGATGCCAACGCTTCCTGAAAGTGGCATTTGAGCTAGTCCTTGCAGTGTTGACATAGATAAGAAAAAATGTTTATTTTCAGGAGGCAGCAGAGGACACTCCAATAAGGGAGCCCTTTATCCCTCCAAGGATTATTTGAATTTTTAAAATAAATGTCAAGTCAAATGAATCTCTAATGAGTGAAACTGCTGCCTGTGGGAAAAGGGAATGGAAAGATAACTGTCACTAATGGGGTTCTTATTCAGCACCTTGTCCTATGCTAGTCGCTTTGCCTATTTTACTGCATTTAAGTTCACAGCTCAAAGGACTGACCATTATTATCTGCATTTATAGAAGAGGATATTGAGACTTAGAAGTTAA